>NC_000011.10:34756969-34908484 GCF_000001405.40 Homo sapiens
ACTTACCATGGTGTTAGAATTGCCTACAGTACTCAGTACAGCAACATGTTTTCCAAGTTTGTAGCCTAGGAACAATAGGATGTACCATATAGCCTGGGTGTGTAGTGGGCTATGCCATCTATGTCTGTGTAAGCTCACTTTATGATGTTTGCACAATGATGCATTTCTCAGAATGTATCCCTGTTGTTAAGCAATGCATGAATGTATATCTCATGGGCCAGGAACTGTGTCATATGTGAATTCTTGGCTGCAAGGAAGGCTGAGCTAGTGAACATTTAGCTGGGCAAAAAGTCCTCCAAGTCAGAGTTCAGTTGCAAGGAAGGAGAAGGTGGATACTGGGTAAATAAATAGTGTATGCTATAGAGTCACGTTTACTTGCACAAAGATGAATCAGACACTATTAATTCCTTCTCTCAATAACCTCAAGTCTAGCCTGAAGACAAATAAGAACTTCTTGGAAAAGTAATTACTATGTGATAGAATAAACTGGCATATATTGCTGTGGGAAGGTACTTAATTTGCTTGGGGGTGGGGGCGAACATAGAGAGAGAGAGTTCTAGGAAGGAACGGACCACATTGCATTCTGGCAGAGGAACAGCTAGCACAGAGGTTCAGAGATGTGAAGATGTGCTATTCAAACAGTTGAATAGCACGTGAACCAGTGTCTAGAGCACAGGATGGGTAGTAGGAGAATGGGGATGGCAGGAAATGATACCAAATAGGTCATGGAGTCAGCTAGGGCTCTATGTGCCCACCAGATCTTTGGGGAATAGCATAGGAAGGGCAGTGGACATCGACTACGTTTTTTTCCCTTTGGCCCTCCATCTTTCTTTGGGGAAATTCTCTTTCACACTCTACAAGACTGAATCACATGGCCCAACTTTCCATTTTCTTTGTGCGGACCCCTGACTCACGCAGAACTAATCAGAGTCCTTTACAGAAATTGAGATGGTTACTGAAAAAGAGACCCTGCCCTAAGGAAGACATCCCTGGAGCTGCCAGTGGCTGTATTTTCCTCCTTCAGAGAGAGCTTGCCTGAAAAAAGGAGGAAAAGAAAGGTGGGTTGGGGAGGAGAGAGTAGGGAAGAGAACTAGTGAAATAATTCTAACATCCTGGATCCATCTTACCTAAAATCATCTCTACTCCTTAAGCCAGTAACATTTCTGTATTTAGTTACACTAGTTTAAGTTGGCTCCCTATCAGTCACATTCGGAAGATTCTTGGCAGAGGGGTTAGAATCTGGAAGCAGGATGATCAATCAGTAGCTCTCACAGCATTCCCTTCTTCTACCTGGCTATGGGCTAGGCCTGCCCTGGCTTCTGGGGAGAGGAGAGAGATGAGTTTTCCACCGTACCCACCTCAATCTTCATGCACAGTCTCTGAGAGAGGTGCTGATTCTCATCCAGCTGGCTGGATGGCACCCACTTCCTGTCCTGTAATTATCGGCTGCCTTCCCAGGCTGTTATCTGACTCCACTATCAGCCAGCGACATCCAGGAACACATTGGACTTCTAGGAAAAAAGATGTTTT
Source organism: Homo sapiens (assembly GCF_000001405.40). Taxonomy (NCBI): domain Eukaryota; kingdom Metazoa; phylum Chordata; class Mammalia; order Primates; family Hominidae; genus Homo; species Homo sapiens. Next base: position 34,758,500 of record NC_000011.10, read on the forward strand.
ACAAGAGCAAACGCATGTGGCCAGAGCTGATGGTAACCCTAGCTGCACAATGAAGCCCTGGACGTCATTCATGGCCTCTGGTATTCAGGAGTCTGGCATGAGCTCCAGAAGTCAAGATAACCAGCATTTGTGAGGTGGTAACTCAAATCCTTCGAGACCGTAGGGCTGACAGAGTCTTTGCTTTGGAAGAGAATCATCTCCAGGTGTTAGTGTTTCTTACATCTCAGTCCAGCTGTGTGAGCCTGGGCAAATTGCTTCACCTCTCTAAGATTCCAACTCTCAATTTTAAATAGGCAAGATCACCATGATTGCTACCATGTATTGAGTGCTTACAATGTACCAGGCATGCTAAGTGCTGTACATGTAGTCACCTTCCTATCAGGCGATATATCTGCAGGGAGTGTGCCCAGTACAGTGGCTGGCATATTATGAAACTTTAATCTGGGTTTGTTATTGTTATTACCCGTGTTACCATGAAGAACATAAACTTCAATCCGGTCCTTTAATGGGTGAGAAAACTGGTACTGAGAAGCAGTGAATAACTTGCCTAAAATCATGCAGCATAATCAGTGACACAGCAAGATCCAGAACCCAAGCCTCATCCAAATTAAGGGACATACACAAAGCAGCAAAGATTATAAGGTATCTACAAATTATTTAACTTAGGATATGCATAACTTCTATGAAGACAACTTTAACATTCTAATGGAAAACATAAAAATGATCTGAATAAATGGAAATATTCCATGTTCTTGAATGGGCAACCTTGTATCTTAATGGTAATAGTTATTCCCATGTTAATCTATAAATTAAAGGCTGTCAGATCCCAGCTGGGCTTTTTGAAGAACTTGAAACATGTATTCCAAAATGTTGGAGGAAGAGAGATCCATATTAATTAAGTCAAGTTTAGAAAAGAAGAAGGAGAGAATTGCCTTACCCCTCATTGAGAAGAATTACAAACTGGTAGTAATGAAAAATAGTTTGATATTGGTACCAAAGCAGAGAAACAGATTCATGAAACAGGGGGGAGAGGCAAGAGTCAGACCCATAGGTACATGGAGCCTAATATATGGCATAAGGGAAGATTGCAATTTTATAAGGAACAGCCAGATTGTTTAGAGATGGAGTAGGGGAAAGTGATTCACCATGTGGAGAAAATTAGAACAGTATCCCCATCTAAGGAGACTCCAGAAAAATTAAAGATCTAAATATGAAAGATAAAACATCAAGTTATTAGGGAAAAAATCTTTGCAATCTAGGACCAGGAAAAGAGTTTATGAACAAAAGTATGAACTTCTTTTTAACAAAGGGCATTACAGACAAAGTTAATAGGCAGCTGATAGGCAAGATAAAGATTCTTTCAAAATCTAAAATGGAAAAGGCATAAATGATATCCTTGTGATTCTACCGTAAGAAAAGAGAAGTTCCTACAGGAACATAATTTCTTATGAACAATTACACAAGAAATTTAAAAGTTTATAGAGAAGTAAAGAAATGCTCAAAATCATTAATAGTCAATAAATGAAAGTTAAAGCAATAAGATATCGCTTTAAACTGAATAGACTGAAAAAATTAGAAAGCTGTGTAATACAAGTGTTTGTTGGGTAGGAACCTACATGCACAGATACTGATATACACTGATGAGAGTGCAAACTGATGTAACATTCTAAAGAAAATATGGATTATTTAATGAAATTTAGAATGTGCATTCCCAGTACCATGCTGTTTTGGTTACTGTAGCCTTGTAGTATAGTTTGAAGTCAGGTAGCGTGATGACTCCAGCTTTGTTCTTTTGGCTTAGGATTGACTTGGCGATGCGGGCTCTTTTTTGGTTCCATATGAACTTTAAAGTAGTTTTTTCCAATTCTGTGAAGAAAGTCATTGGTAGCTTGATGGGGATGGCATTGAATCTGTAAATTACCTTGGGCAGTATGGCCATTTTCACAATATTGATTCTTCCTACCCATGAGCATGGAATATTCTTCCATTTGTTTGTATCCTCTTTTATTTCCTTGAGCAGTGGTTTGTAGTTCTCCTTGAAGAGGTCCTTCACATCCCTTGTAAATTGGATTCCTAGGTATTTTATTCTCTTTGAAGCAATTGTGAATGGGAGTTCACTCATGATTTGGCTCTCTGTCTGTTGTTGGTGTATAAGAATGCTTGTGATTTTTGTACATTGATTTTGTATCCTGAGACTTTGCTGAAGTTGCTTATCAGCTTAAGGAGATTTTGGGCTGAGACAATGGGGTTTTCTAGATATACAGTCATGTCGTCTGCAAACAGGGACAATTTGACTTCCTCTTTTCCTAATTGAATACCCTTTATTTCCTTCTCCTGCCTAATTGCCCTGGCCAGAACTTCCAACACTATGTTGAATAGGAGTGGTGAGAGAGGGCATCCCTGTCTTGTGCCAGTTTTCAAAGGGAATGCTTCCAGTTTTTGCCCATTCAGTATGATATTGGCTGTGGGTTTGTCATAGATAGCTCTTATTATTTTGAAATACGTCCCATCAATACCTAATTTATTGAGAGTTTTTAGCATGAAGGGTTGTTGAATTTTGTCAAAGGCCTTTTCTGCATCTATTGAGATAATCATGTGGTTTTTATCTTTGGTTCTGTTTATATGCTGGATTACATTTATTGATTTGCATATATTGAACCAACCTTGCATCCCAGGGATGAAGCCCACTTGATCATGGTGAATAAGCTTTTTGATGTGCTGCTGGATTAAGTTTGCCAGTATTTTATTGAGGATTTTTGCATTGATGTTCATCAAGGATATTGGTCTAAAATTCTCTTTTTTGGTTGTGTCTCTGCCCGGCTTTGGTATCAGGATGATGCTGGCCTCATAAAATGAGTTAGGGAGGATTCCCTCTTTTTCTATTGATTGGAATAGTTTCAGAAGGAATGGTACCAATTCTTCCTTGTACCTCTGGTAGAATTCGGCTGTGAATCCATCTAGTATTGGACTCTTTTTGATTGGTAAGCTATTGATTATTGCCACAATTTCAGAGCCTGTTATTGGTCTATTCAGAGATTCAACTTCTTCCTGGTTTAGTTTTGGGAGGGTGTATGTGTCGAGGAATTTATCCATTTCTTCTAGATTTTCTAGTTTATTTGCATAGAGGTGTTTGTAGTATTCTCTGATGGTGGTTTGTATTTCTGTGGGATTGGTGGTGATATCCCCTTTATCATTTTTTATTGCGTCTATTTGATTCTTCTCTCTTTTCTTCTTTATTAATCTTGCTAGCAGTCTATCAATTTTGTTGATCCTTTCAAAAAACCAGCTCCTGGATTCATTAATTTTTTGAAGGGTTTTTTGTGTCTCTATTTCCTTCAGTTCTGCTCTGATTTTAGTTATTTCTTGCCTTGTGCTAGCTTTTGAATGTGTTTGCTCTTGCTTTTCTAGTTCTTTTAATTGTGATGTTAGGGTGTCAATTTTGGATCTTTCCTGCTTTCTCTTGTGGGCATTTAGTGCTATAAATTTCCCTCTACACACTGCTTTGAATGTGTCCCAGAGATTCTGGTATGTTGTGACTTTGTTCTCATTGGTTTCAAAGAACATCTTTATTTCTGCCTTCATTTCGTTATGTACCCAGTAGTCATTCAGGAGCAGGTTGTTCAGTTTCCGTGTAGTTGAGCAGTTTTGAGTGAGTTTCTTAATCCTGAGTTCTAGTTTGATTGCACTGTGGTCTGAGAGACAGTTTGTTATAATTTCTGTTCTTTTACATTTGCTGAGGAGAGCTTTACTTCCAACGATGTGGTCAATTTTGGAATAGGTGTGGTGTGGTGCTGAAAAAAATGTATATTCTGTTGATTTGGGGTGGAGAGTTCTGTAGATGTCTATTAGGTCTGCTTGGTGCAGAGCCGAGTTCAATTCCTGGGTATCCTTGTTAACTTTCTGTTTTGTTGATCTGTCTATATGTTGACAGTGGGGTGCTATAGGCTCCCATTATTATTGTGTGGGAGTCTAAGTCTCTTTCTAGGTCACTCAGGACTTGCCTTATGAAACTGGGTGCTCCTGTATTGGGTGCATATATATTTAGGATAGTTAGTCCTTCTTGTTGAATTGATCCCTTTACCATTATGTAATGGCCTTCTTTGTCTCTTTTGATCTTTGCTGGTTTAAAGTCTGTTTTATCAGAGACTAGGATTGCAACCCCTGCCTTTCTTTGTTTTCCATTTGCTTGGTAGATCTTCCTCCATCCTTTTATTTTGAGCCTATGTGTGTCTCTGCACGTGAGATGGGTTTCCTGAATACAGCACACTGATGGGTCTTGACTCTTTATCCAATTTGCCAGTCTGTGTCTTTTAATTGGAGCATTTAGTCCATTTACATTTAAAGTTAATATTGTTATGTGTGAATTTGATCCTGTCATTTTGATGTTAGCTGGTTATTTTGCTCATTAGTTGATGCAGTTTCTTCCTAGCCTCGATGGTCTTTACAATTTGGCATGATTTTGCAGTGGCTGGTACCGGTTGTTCCTTTCCATGTTTAGTGCTTCCTTCAGGAGCTCTTTTAGGGCAGGCCTGGTGGTGACAAAATCTCTCAGCATTTGCTTGTCTGTAAAGTATTTTATTTCTCCTTCACTTATGAAGCTTAGTTTGGCTGGATATGAAATTCTGGGTTGAAAATTCTTTTCTTTAAGAATGTTGAATATTGGCCCCCACTCTCTTCTGGCTTGTACAGTTTCTGCTGAGATATCTGCTGTTAGTCTGATGGGCTTCCCTTTGAGGGTAACCTGACCTTTCTCTCTGGCTGCCCTTAACATTTTTTCCTTCATTTCAACTTCGGTGAATCTGACAATTATGTGTCTTGGAGTTGCTCTTCTCGAGGAGTATCTTTTTGGCATTCTCTGTATTTCCTGAATCTGAATGTTGGCCTGCCTTGCTAGATTGGGGCAATTCTCCTGGATAATATCCTGCAGAGTGTTTTCCAACTTGGTTCCATTCTCCCTGTCACTTTCAGGTACACCAATCAGACGTAGATTTGGTCTTTTCACATAGTCTCATATTTCTTGGAGGCTTTGTTCGTTTCTTTTTATCCTTTTTTCTCTAAACTTCCCTTCTTGCTTCATTTCCTTCATTTCATCTTCCATCACTGATACCCTTTCTTCCAGTTGATCGCATCAGCTCCTGAGGCTTCTGCATTCTTCACGTAGTTCTTGAGCCTTGGCTTTCAGCTCCATCAGCTCCTTTAAGCACTTCTCTGTATTGGTTATTCTAGTTATACATTCATCTAATTTTTTTTCAAAGTTTTCAACTTCTTTGCCTTTGGTTTGAATTTCCTCCTGTAGCTTGGAGTAGTTTGATCGTCTGAAGCCTTCTTCTCTCAACTCGTCAAAGTCATTCTCTGTCCAGCTTTGTTCCATTGCTGGTGAGGAACTGCATTCCTTTGGAGGAGGAGAGACACTCTGCTTTTTAGGGTTTCCGGTTTTTCTGCTCTGTTTTTCCCCATCTTTGTGGTTTTATCTACTTTTGGTCTTTGATGATGGTAATGTACAGATGGGTTTTTTGTGTGGATGTCCTTTCTGTTTGTTAGTTTTCCTTCTAACAGACAGGACTCCCAGCTGCAGGTCTGTTGGAATTTGCTAGAGGTCCACTCCAGATGCTGTTTGCCTGGGTACCAGCAGCGGTGGCTGCAGAACAGTGGATTTTTGTGAACCGTGAATGCTGCTGTCTGATTGCTCCTCTGGAAGTTTTGTCTCAGGGGAGTACCCGGCCGTGTGAGGTGTCAGTCTGCCTCTACTGGGGGGTGCCTCCCAGTTAGGTTGCTCAGGGGTCAGGGGTCAGGGACCCACTTGAGGAGGCAGTCTGCCCATTCTCAGATCTCCAGCTGTGTGCTGGGAGAACCACTGCTCTCTTCAAAGCTGTCAGACGGGGACATTTAAGTCTGCAGAGGTTACTGCTGTCTTTTTGTTTGTCTGTGCCCTGCCCCCAGAGGTGAAGCCTACAGAGGCAGGCAGGCCTCCTTGAGCTGTGGTGGGCTCCACCCAGTTCGAGCTTCCCTGCTGCTTTGTTTACCTAAGCAAGCCTGGGCAATGGTGGGCGCCCCTCCCCCAGCCTCATTGCTGCCTTGCAGTTTGATCTCAGACTGCTGTGCTAGCAATCAGTGAGACTCCGTGGGCATAGGACCCTCCGAGCCATGTGCGGGATATAATCTCCTGGTGCGCCGTTTTTTAAGCCCGTCAGAAAAGCGCAGTATTAGGGTGGGAGTGACTCAATTTTCCAGGTGCCGTCTGTCACCCCTTTCTTTGACTAGGAAAGGGAACTCCCTGACCCCTTGCACTTCCCGAGTGAGGCAATGCCTCGCCCTGCTTCGGCTCACGCATGGTGTGCTGCACCCACTGTCCTGCACCCACTGTCTGGCACTCCCTAGTGAGATGAACCCGGTACCTCAGATGGAAATGCAGAAATCACCTGTCTTTTGCATCACTCACGCTGGGAGCTGTAGACCGGAGCTGTTCCTATTCGGCCATCTTGGCTCTCATTTTTCTAAATATAGATATTCAGTTTTCCCAGCAGCATTAATTGAAGAGATTGTTGCTTCTCCAATGAATGTTCTTGGAACTTTTGTCAAAAATTAGTTAGCTATAAATATATTGATTTATTTCTGTTCTCTATTCTATTTCATTGGTCTATGTGTACTTTTTATGCTAGTATCATGCTGTTTTGATTACTATAGCTTTGTAGTTTATTTTGAAGTCTGATAGTGTAATGTCTTCAGCTTTGTTCTTTTTACCTAGGATTGCTTTGACTGGGGTCTTTTGTGGTTCCATGTGAATTTTAGAATTTTTAAAAATTTCTATGAAGAATTTCATTGGTATTTTGATAGAAATTACATTGAGTATGTAGACATTGCTTTTGTTAGTCTGGTCATTTTCACAATACTACTTCTATCTATGAACATAGAATGTTTCCCGTTTTATTGTATCCTCTTTCATTTCTTTCATAGTGTTTTATAGTTTTCCTTGTATAGATCTTTCACCAACTTAGTTAAATTTATTTCCAGGTATTTTATTTTTCTGTTGCTATTGTAAATGGGATTGCTTTATTGATTGCTTTTTTCTCTACTTTGTTGTTGGTGTATAGAAACACTACTGATTTTTATATGTTGATTCTGTATTCTGTAACTTTACTGATCATTTATTAGTTCTAAGAGTTTTTCATGGAACTTTTAGGGTTTTCTGTATTTAAGATCATGTCATCTGTAAACAGGGACAATTTGACTTCATCTTTTCCAATTCGGATGCCCTTTATTTCTTTCTTTTGCCTAATTGCTCTAGCTAGGACTTTCAGTACTATGCTGAATAAAAGTAATGAGAGTTGGCATCCTTGTCTTGGTTCCAGATCTCAGAGGGAAAGCTTTCAACTTTTCTCTATTAAGTATGATGTTGTCTGTGGGCTTGTCATATATGGCCTTTCTTGTGCTGAGTTATGTTTGTTCTATACTTAACTTGTTGAGAGTTTTTATCATAAAGGGATGTTGAATATTGTCAAATGCTTTTTCTGCATCTGTTGAGATTATCATGTTTTTTGTCCTTCATTCTGTTGATGTGACGTATCATGTTTGTTGATTTGTGTATGTTGGACCATGCTTGCATCTGTGATATAAATCTCATTTGATCATGGTAAATGATCTTTTTAATATGCAGGTGAATTTGGTTTGCTAATATCTTGTTGAGGATTTTTGCATTTAAGTTCATCAGATATTTTGGTCTCTAGTTTTCTTTTTTTGTTGTGATCTTGTCTGCTTTTGATATTAGGCTAATGCTGCCCTCATAAAAAAGTTTCAGAGAATTTCCTCCTCTTCAATTTTCTGAAAGAGTTTGAGAAGAATTGACATTAGTTCTTTAAATGTTTGTAGAATTCAAGAGTAAAGTCATGAAGCACTGGGCTTTTCTTTGATGGAATACTTTTTTGTTACAGATTTAATCTTATTACTTGTAATTGTTCTATTCTGTTTTATATTTCTTTCTGGTCCAATCTTGGTAGGTTGTGAGTGTGCAGGAATGTTCCATTTCTGCTAAGTTTTCTAATTTGTTGGTGTATAGTTATTCATTACAGTCTCCAGTGATCCTTTGTATTTCTATGATATCAGCTGTAATGTCTTTTTCATTTTTGATTTTATTTATTCGGATATTTTCTCTTTTTTCTTCTGTTAAGCTAATGTTTGTTGGATTGTGTTTATCTTCTCAAAATACCAATGTTTTGTTTAGTTGATCTTTTGTAATTTTTTAGTCTCAATCTCATTTCTTTCTGCTCTGATATTATTTCTTTCCTTTTGCTAAATTTGGATTTGGTTTGTTCTTACTTCTCTAGTCCTTGAGATGCATTATTAGTTGGCTTATTTAAAATCTTTCTACTTTTTAAATGTAGGCATTTATTGTTATAAAATTTCTCTTAATACTGTTTTGCTGTATCCCATAGGTTTGGGTATGTTGTGTTTCTATTTTCATTTATTTCAATAAATTTTAAAATTTCTTTTAAAATTTCTTTCTTGACCCATTGATTGTTCAGGAGCATGCTGTTGAATTTCCATGTGTTTATATAATTTCAAAAATTCCTCTTGTTAATGATTTCTAGCTTTATTCTATTGTGGTCAGACAAAAATATTTGATACAATTTCAATTTTAAAAAAATTGTTGGGACTTGTTTTGTGGTCTAAGATGTGATCTCTCTTAGAGAATGCGCCATGTGCTGATGAAAAAAATGTGTATTCTATAGCGTTTGGATAAAATGTCCTGTAAATCTCTGTTAGGTTCATTTGGTCTAAACTATAGTTTAAATTCTATGTTTCCTTATTCATTTTCTGTCTAAATAACCTGTCTAAAGCTGCAAGTGGGATATTGAAGTTTCCAACTAATATTGTCTTGGGCTCTCTCTCCTTAGATCTAATAATATTTGCCTTATGTATCTTGGTACATTGGTATAGGGTAAATATATACTTACTATTGCTATATCCTCTTGTTGAATTGATCATTTTATGATTATATAATGAGTGTCTTTGTTTTTACAATTTTTTACTTAAAGTCTGATTTATCTGATATAAGTACAGCTACTTCTGCTCATTTTTGGTTTCTGTTTGCATGGAATATCCTTTTCTATCCTTCCACTTTCTGTCTATTTGTGTGTTCACAGATGAAGTGAGTTTCTTGTAGGCAGTATATAGTTGGGTTATATATTTTATCCATTCAGGCATTCTATATATATTTTAGTGCATGCTTTAATCCTTTTATTAATATTAATACATTCAAGATTATTATTGATAATTGAGGACTTATTCCTGTCATTTTGTTAGTGGTTTGCTGGTTATTTGTATTCCTTTGTTCTTTCCTGCACTCATTGTTTACTGCTGTAATTTGGTCTTTTTCTGTTGTGATATGTTTTGCTTCTTTTCTCTTTCTCCTTTGTGTATTTGCTCTGTAGAGTTTTATACTTTTGCATGTTTTCATCATAGTGATTATATCTTTTCACTTCCAGATGTAGGATTCTCTAGAGCATTTCTTTTACAGCAGGTCGAGTGTTGATGAATTCCTTCAGTTTTTGCATGTCTAGGAAAGACTCTTTCTCCTTCAATTCTCAAGGACAGCTTTGCTGGGTATAGTTTTTGGTTGACAAGTTACTTCTTCCAGTACTTTGAATGTGTCGTGTAATTCTCTCCTTGTCTGTAAGTTTTTTTGCAGACAAATAGGCTCATAATCTAATGGAGATTCCCTTATATGTGAATTGATGCTCTTCTTTTGCTATTTTTAGAATTCTCTATTTGTCTTTGATTTTTGACAATTTGATTATACTGTGTCTCAAAGAGGACTTTTTGGATTGATCTTATTTGGGAACCTTTGAGTTTTCTTGGATCTGGATGTTCATAAATCTTTCCAGACTTTAGGAAGTTTTCAGCTATTATTTTATTAAATAGTTTTCTAAGCCTTTTCCATTCTCTTCTTCTGCTGGGACATAAATGTTATAAAAATTTGTTCATTTAGTCGTGTTCCACATGGCTTGGAGGCATTCTTCACTCTTTTTCATTCTTTTTTCTTTTTCTCTGACTGGTAAATTTTAAATGACCTATCTTCAAGTTCAGAGATTCTTCTGCTTGATCAAGTCTGTTATTTAAGCTCTCCATTGTATTTTATTTTATTCGTTCAGTTCCTCAGCCACAGAACTTCTGTTTGGTTCTTTTTTTATAATTTATATCTCTTTGTTGAATTTATTGTTCATGTCATGAATTGTTTTACTTATTTCATTAAATTGTCTGGTTTTTTTTTTCCCCTTATCTCATTTATCTTCCTTGAGATCATGCGTTTGAATTCCTTTTCTGTCAGTTTGTTGATTTTCCTTCTATTGAGGTCTGGTACATAGCTATTATCTTCCTATGGTAGTGTCATATTTCCTTGTTTTTTGTGTTTCTTGTGTTCCAATGTTGATGTCTGTGCATCTGGTGGAACAATCACCACTTCTAAACTTTATAGTCTTTTATAGAGAAACAATTCCACTTGCAGATGTGTTGTAGTATGCTGGTTGGGAAAGGTGTGATGACTTTGTTTCCAGATGAATACAGTGATATGGTCTTTGTGTAGCTTCTTCAGCTATGTGCAATGTCAGCCATAACTGTGGACACTTCAGTGGCCTAGGTTGTAAAAGTCTGTGTCAGTAGTAGTAGCAGCAGCAGCATAGGTTGTTAATGTCCTTGGTGTCAAGGGCTTTTGGTTTTCTCTTATTATTCTCTTTTTCCCCACAATGGAGAGACTTAGCCAAGGAGATCCCTATTGGTGTCAGGTCTGACATGGTCTACAGACAGCCTCAATAGTACTGGGTTCCAGGTGCAGGTGCTTGCAGTTGCTGTGGGGCCAGGGTCCTAGGCTCAGGGTCCCATGAACCCATTGTGGCACCTGGATCTTGAGGTGCAGGTTTGCTCTCTGTGGCAGATTTGGATGTAGGTTGCCCACTGAGCTAAGATCTGTGATTCAGAGTACCACCCCTTTTCCTGCCCACCCCCCTCCCCCCAGCAGCTTGAGTCTAGGGGGCTGGTTTATAAATGTCCTTCGACCTTTAGAGGGCAGAGCACAACACTGGCCTGACTCTGGGAAGGAAGGCGTCCTCTGGAGGTTTTGGAGTTGGGTATCAGTGTATGACTACTTTGAGAACCTGAGCCAATAGAGCTCAGTGGCAACTTGGGTCCTAAAGGATGTAGCACCATATAGTAGTGACTCTAGACCCTGGGATATTGGGGTTTGGCCACATCCCAGACTCTGTGGGACCATATGCAGTACTAGCAAGTACCCTAGAATGGTGGAGTACAGCTATTGTTCAGGCCCTGGGGAGCAGGGAACAGCACAGAGGTGACTCCACTTCCCAGGAAGAGGGACGTCTCAGCAGCTCAGACTCTAGAAGGCTGGTCCAGCTCCAGGGCATCTGTATACTAAAGTTGTTTGACCTGTAGGGCAGTTGTCTCATCTCAGCCACTGCTCTGTTCTCCTGTTATGTGGGGGTACTACATCAGCTCAGTCCTGGAATGCACAACTGCTCAGCTCAGCCAGGACACTGATTCCCCAAAGCGCAGTGTACTGCTTCAGCTTAAGCCTGGACAGCCCAGGCACCATTTCCTGGGATGCAGGGCATTACTTCAACTTAGGTATCAGGAAGGCATGACTGCTTTGAGTGACCAAGGTACTTGTTTCTCAGGAGGCAGGGTACCACTTCAGCTCCAGACTGAAAGGGCAGGCAAAGGGGTAGGTGGAGTGGCTGGACATTTGCTTGGCCTTATGAGGAATGATGTAACAGCTGCTTGCAGCTAGCTGGAGAATGTCAGCCACCAGGCTGGGTGGTTTGGTGGTGGCTTAGCCTGGGGGTGAAGGAGAGCCATGGTTAATCACCCGCAGAGCAAGACACACTTCAGCCTTACTTCCAGCTCTAAGATGGAGAAGCACAGTAGCCATATGGGCCATAAGGGAAAGGGGACAGTGTCAGCTCCTTCTCCAGGGGAAACAGAGATATGTGGCCTCCAGGCATCCCCCTCAGCTGGGCTTAGTGCTTGTGAGGAATGCAGGGAAACTGGTGGTGAGGTCTGTAGGTATCCAAGGTGTTCACTCGGGCTTCTGGGATCCTTTTGGTTACATCTTTGCTGAAGGGAAAAGTTCCCCCGGTTTCCAGCTGATCTTGCTTGAGAGACAGGGTGGTGGAGGCCCAGCATTTCCTTAGTTTGGTGGGATATGAAATTCTTGATTCAAATCTCTTTACTTTAAGAATGGTGAATATAGTCCCCTAATCTCTTCAGGCTTATAGGGTTTCTACTGAAAGGTCTGCTGTTAGCCTTATAGGGTTCCCTTTGTAGGTAACCTGTCCCTTCTGTAGTTGCCTTTAACATTTTTTCTTCTTTTTGATCTTGGAGAATCTGATGACTATGTGTCTTGGGGATGGTCATCTTGTATAGTGTCTTGCAGGGGTTCTCTGCATTTCCTGAATTTAAATGTTGGCCTCTCTAGTGAGGTTGGGGAAATTTTCATGGATGATATTCTCAAACTTGTTTTCCAAATTGTTAGTTTTCTCTCCCTCACTTTCAGGGATGCCAATGAGCTATAGATTTGGTCTCTTTACGTAATCCTATATTTCTCAGAGATTTGTTTCATTTTTTATTCTTTTTTTCCTTCATTTTTTGTCTGACTGAGTTATTTTGGAGAACCAGTCTTTGAGCCCTGAGATTCTTTCCTCAGCTTGATCATTCTGCTGTTAATACTTGCAATTACATTATGAAATTCATAAAGTGAGTTGTTCAGCTCTATCAGATCAGTTTTTTCTTAAAATGGCCATTTTATCTTTCATTTCCTGTATTCTTTTATTGTATTTCTTAGATTCCTTGGATTGAGTTTTGACTGTCTCCTGAATCTCAATGATCTTAATTCCTACCCATATTGTGACTTCTATTTCTGTCATTTCAGCAATTTAAGCCTGGTTAAGAATCATTGCTGGGAAACTAGTGTGGTTGTTTAGAGATAAGAAGAGACACTGGCGGCTGGGCAAGGTGTCTTACGCCTGTAATCCTAGCACTTTGGGAGGCCGAGGCAGGCGGATCATGAGGTCAGGAGATCGAGACCATCCTGGCTAACACGGTGAAATGCCATCTCTACTAAAAATACAAAAAATTAGCCAGGTATGGTGGCAGGCACCTGTAGTCCCAGCTACTTGGGAGGCTGAGGCAGGAGAATTGCTTGAACCTGGGAGGTGGAGGTTGCAGTGAGCCAAGATCGTGCCACTGCACTCCAGCCTGGGTGACAGAGCAACACTCCATCTCAGGAAAAAAAAAAAAAAAAAAAGAAAGAAAGAAAAAAGAAGAAGACACTCTAGCTTTTTGAGTTGCCAGAGTTCTCGTACTGGTTATTTCTCATCTTTGTGAGCTGATATTCCCTGAAGTTGCTGTCCTTTGGATGAATTTTTGGCTTTTATCTTTTTTGATGCTCTTGAGGGTTTAATTGTAGTATAAGATGGCTTCAGTCAACTGACTTCATTTCTGGAAGATTTTAGGGGGCCAAGGCTCAGCTCAGCACTCCTGGGCTGTATGTTCTAACTCTGGGGCCAGTACTGGGCCCCCAGCTTTGGTCTCTGGTTAAAAACCTGCTGTGCTTGAGAGGCCAAAGTGTTCCCAGTCTGCGGCCACTGCACTCTCATGAGTGGTGCTGGCCAAAGTGCTTCACTGGGCCAGTGGCAGTGGGGTCCGTGTTTGCTTGTGTGTGCCAGCAGCTGTGGCAGCATGGCAGGGTACATATGTGTCAGCTAGGGTGGGGTACTGTCGGGAGCAGAGCTGCGGTGTTCCTGCCGCCCCAGAATAACTGTTTAAAACCAGATTTTGCCAACCCCCAGGAGAAATAACAGTAGAAATTGGCCCACTGGGTAATTAGAAAATGAAAATGGGGACTGTGATCTGGTTTCAGAGATGAAAAGCAGTTAAGTTGGGCCCTCAGGAACCTGGGTTGGAGCTATCATTAGTGGCAGAATAAAGTTCCTTCCAGGTTTTGGCTCCATTCCAAGGTAAAAGATGAGGAACCTGGAGACATGAGCTCTCTCTCCTGATCTGGGGCTAAATTGGTTTATTGACAGAAATGATTCTTCTCTAACACAGTCCACTTCACCCCTGTAAAATGAAACAATTTCTATTAATTTGCCACACAACCACCTCAAAAAGAATTAATAATTATATTGTAGTAGCTATGTTAAACTGGTGCTTACAAAGTGACAGTACTCACTTACTACCTTATATCCATGATCTTATGTATTCCTAATAGTAACCCTATGAAGCAAATATTATCATATCCATTTTACAGAAGAGAAAACTGAGGCTGTAAGATGTTCAGTTGCTTTCTGAAAGTTGCACATTTTGTAATAAATCCAGTTCTATTTGCCTTAGAATTCATGTTCTGGGATACATATTGGCTTCCTATGTGAATTTAGGTTAGCAATTTTCCCCTATTGCACAGAACAATGTCTGGCAGGCAAACTGGGGTCAACATTCCTCACTGTGACCCATCTATGGACAAGGAGTAGTGGTAGTTCCTAAAGACTCCAAAGATCAGTTTCATTTCTCCTCATGTTTTGGGAAGTCTATTCACTCTGATACTTGAAAGAAATATGTGTTGATTGGAGTGAAACAAACATCAAAAGAACCTCTTGCACACTTTTTAATAGTGAAGAATTGGGGATGAATAAAATTACAGGAAAGAAAAGTCTTCAGGAGGAAGAAAATAAGTTGCTTGAATGTAGGGAACTGAGTCACCATAACTGGCATAACATTAATGCCTAATGCTGGTGAGAAAAATCTGTTTATATCCCCAACCCTTGTGCCTATTGGCGCTAGCAGCCCAGAGTCTCTTGGGCATGTTCCACAAATTACCATTAAAAACAACTTCTTATTGCCAAGTCTATGGAATCTCAACTCCAATCTCACCCCTGGAGCTTAACAATCCTTATTAACCTGCTTTAGCTTTTGAAGCTGGATAAAAATTAAAGGACTTAGTGTTTGTGTTTAAAGCACCTTAGGGATAACTTTTTCCCATGTCTGGCAGTGATGGTCCCCAGACTTATCCAGGCTGCATCTATTCTATGCTAATCCAAAAGGAATTCACATTCCCTCACCTGTACATGATATATTGCAGAATCACAAAATCACTTTTACTCTGAGTTTCACCTGAAATGGACTCTCAACTCTTCATTTACCTCACTATTTTTTTAAACTTAAATTCAAATCTTAACGTCTCAGAGATGGTGAGGATTATGGTGAATTCCAGTTCTGTCCTCATCACCTACTATTATGGAGTGACTTAACCTCTTTGGAAATTTGTTTCCTTATCTCACTTCAACAAGAGAAGCAAAAGTGAGATTTTTTTAAGAATAAAAAAAATGCAGTGAAAACCATTTTGAGAATCCTTTGGTTGCTTTGGGGTAAATAAAATTAGCTTCCTAATAGCAGTTTCTGGCACAGTTCCTCAGCCAACTGAACTAAACTGAATAAATAGCTCAATGATGCTGTAATGTGGGGTTAAAGTCATGGTGGCTAGAAAAACTATTAGGTAGCTGCCAAGAAAAACCACACGAATTTATAAAGCCAGCAGTGACCCTAAGTCTTACAGGTAGGACAAAATTATTATTCCTTTTCATGCAGCTTAACATTCATAATACTCTTCAATGTTGGAAGATTAACTTGGTAAGTATCCAAGAAAACACAAGAACAGGGCTAGCTTTTAAGGATTAGAATTCCAAAAAGAGCAGAGAAAGGGTTAGAAATCAGGGGTCTGAAATACTCTGCAAAAATACTGCCTCACTGAAGCATTTTCACTAAGACCAAGAAATTTTTTTCATTTTGAGTGACCTACTTATTGCCATGGTTTCTATAGAAGAGATCATTGGAAAGTACACTTCATTCTAATTTGGGGTTCCATTGATTAGGGGAGTTTCCCTCAGGGCACAAGCTTTCCGTTTTCTATTTTTTTTCCATTTGCATTATGTCCAAAGCACATGTGGCAAGAGGACTTTGTAAAAACCAAGTCTCAGCTTCTATAGATGTAGCAAGATGATATTTCAGAACATGCATATTGTGATTTCTTATTTCTACTTCCTCAAGCAAGAATCATCCATTGCCTGAAGAGAATTGGGAAAAAATAGCAGAAACAACATCAAGTTATTTTTATTGAGTCTTTCCTAAGTGCCTGGCATGGTTCCAATCACTTTATACCTATTATTTAATATTCCCAGCAATCTTATGAGATGAGTGCTATTATTATCTCCATTTTACTGATGAGAAAACTGAGGCATAGGAAGTTTAAGTGACTTATCTAAGATCAAAATCTGGGAAAGATGAAGCCCTGAGAGTCAATGTTCAGCTTTAACCTTCGAAACTAGGCTTACTTTAGAGAAGATGGTTATGAAAACAAAAGCTTTTGACTTGCAAGTTCTTGGCTTTTTTTAAAACCATTTGCTGGATTTTAACATTCATACATACGAAAAAGTACACAAATCAGCTGCATAGATCAATGAAGTCACACAAAGTGAACAGTCTCATGTAACCCAGATCAAGAAACAATATTACTAGCACTCAGAACTTCTCTTTAAGGTTCCCCTCCAAATACAATCTCTCCCACCAGTATCTTGACTTCTAAAACAATTTTTTTGCACCTTTTTGAACGTTTTATTATTGGAGTTATATACGATGTACTTTTTTGTGTGTCTGGCTTCAGTCAACATAAAAAACATAGAGAGATGAATCTCTAAATAGGAAAGGTTTTGTTTGGGAATAAGCTACGAGAAGTAGCACTGTAATCCGGGATGTATATATGGAGCAGGGTGGCCTCTGGTATGTCCAGAGAACAACAACAACAACAAAAAAGGTTAGGATTTTGTTGGGGAAAGAGGAGATTTACCTGTTGTTTTAAAAGACACTTCATTGCACTGGCAGTGCCCTGTGAGAGCTGAGTTCTGATCGGCGAATGCCAATAGTTGCTAGGTAGGACTTGTAATCTTGGAGTTGCAGTTAGACCTTTGGCAGTTTTGGATTGGGCTTGTGAAACAATTTGTCAGGCAAGTGTTTCTGTGTACGTGGCTAGCTGTCCTTGTGCTGCTAGCTGTCCTTGCACAACTCACATAGTCGCTGCAGTATGGAAAAAATTTCTTGTGATAGTTGTTGTTGCTAGGCAAATCATGCATGAGAACCTTCCCTTGATGGCCTTCCCTGGCTCCATTTTGCCAGGTTTGACTTGAGTGACTCCATTTAGAATCTGACAATTTTCATTCTTCTTTCACTCAAATTTATGTGGTGAGATCCACTCATATTGGGCTTTCTTTTTAATTTCATATGGAATTCTATGTGGATATGCCAAAATGCATTTATCCATTTTACTATTGATTGACATTTGGGTTGTTTCTGGTTTGGGGCTATAATGAATAGTATTACAAAGACTATTCTTGTACATATCTTTTGATGCACATAAAAACATATTTTTTTTTGGATGTACACCTAGGAATGGAAGTGATGGGTCATATGTTATACTTATGATCACTTTATAGATATGGCTCAACAGTTTTCTGAAGTAGTTTAACTACTTTATTAATTTTAACATGTTAATTTATAAATTATTTCTTTTGTAATTAGCTGATTTTGTATCAAGTTTAAGAAATCTTTGCTTACCTGAAAGTCATGAAGATATTATCATCCGATTTCTTCCAAAAGCTTTATTGTTTTACCTTTTCACATTTAGATGTAAACATTTAAAAATTTTATTTAATTGACAAATTAGCATTTTTATTTGACAAATAAAAACTGTTGTCACCTTGTTATACAACAGAACTCTTAAAGTTATTCTTCTTGTCTAGCTGAAATTTTTTGTCTTTTGACCAACATCTCCTAAATCTCGCCATCTCCACCTATGGTAACTACCATTTTACTCTATTTCTGTGAGTTCAACTTTTTAAGATTCTCTATATAAGTGATATCGTGTGGTATTTGTCTTTCTGTGCCTGGCTTATTTTACTTAACATAATGACCTCCAGTTCCTCAATGTTGCTGTAAATAACAAGATTTCTTCCTTTTTATGGCTGAATAATATTCCATTGTGTGTATATGCCACCTTTTCTTTCTCCATTCATCTGTTGATGGACACTTAGGTTTATTCCATATCTTAGCTATTGTGACTAGTGCTGCCATAAACATGGGAGTGCAAATATCTCTTTGACATACTGGTTTTCTTTCCTTTGGATATATATCCAGTAGTGGTATAGCTGGATCATAGGCTAGTTCTATTTTTAATTTTCTGAGAAACCTCCATACTGTTTTCCATAATGACTGTAGTAAATTACATTCCCACCAACAATGTTTAAGTGTTGCCTTTTCTCTACATCCTCATGTACACTTGCTATCCTTAGTCATTTTTATAATAGCTATTCTAACAGGCATGAGGTGTTATCTCATTGTGGTTTTAATTTGCTTTTCCCTGATGATTAGTGATGTTAGCCATTTTTTCATATATCTGTTGGCTACTTGTATATCTGCTTTTGAGAAACATTTATCCAGGTCATAGGTCCATTTTTAAATTGGGTTACTTATTTTCTTGCATTGAGTTTCTTATATATTTTGGATATTAATCCCTTATCAGATGCATGGTTTGCATATACAGATGCTTGTTGACTTACAGTGAGGTTACATGCCAATAAACCTGTTGTAAGTTGAAAATATTGTCAAATCAAAAATGCATTTAATACACCTAGCCTACCAAACATCATAGCTTCGCCTAGCCTATTTTAAACATGCTCACAACACTTATGTTAGCCTACTGTTGAGCAAAAGCATCTAACACACGGTCCATTTTATGATAAAGTGTCTGATATCTCATGCAATTTATTGAATACTGTACTGAAATACACTTTCTGCTGAATGCATATTGCTTTTGCACCATCATAAAGTTGAACTATTGTTAAGTTGGGATCATCTGTGTATTTTTCTGTTCCTTGGGTTGTCTCTTTAGTCTGTTGATTGTTCCTTTACTGTGCAGAAGCTTTTTAGTTTGATGTAATTCCATTTGTCAATTTTTGCTTTTGGTGCCTGTGTTTTGAGGGTCAAAACTATAAAATCCCATTGCCTAGACCCATGTCTAGGAAATTTTCCCCTGTTTTCTTCTAGTAGTTTTATAGTTTCAGTTCTTACATTTAAATGCTCAATCCATTTTGATTTAATGTTTGCATATGGTATGAGATAGGGTCTAATTTCATTCTTCTGCTTGTGGATCTCCAGTTTTTCTAGCACCATTTTTTGGAAAGACTGTATTTTCCCTATTGTGTGTTCTTGACATCTTTGTGGAAAAATCAATTGATTGTAAACACATGGATCTATTCTGAGGCTCTCTGTTCAGTTCCACTGTTCTACATATCTATTTTTATGCCAGTACTATGCTGCTTTGATTACTGTAGCTTTGCAGTAGATTTTGAAATGAGTTAATGTGATGCCTTCAATGTTCTTTTTGTTTAAGATTGCTTTGGCTATTTGGGGTCTTTTGTGGTTCTAGATGAATTTTAGGATTTTTTTTCTATTTCTGTGAAAAAATGTCATTAGAAATTTTATAGGGATTGCATTGGATCTGTAGATTGCTTTGGGTAGTGTGGAGATTTTTAACAATGTTAATTCTTCCAAACCATGAACATGGAATATATTTCTATTTATTTGTGTCTTCTTCAATTTCTTTTATCATATTTCTTTGTTTTTAGCATACTGGTTTTTACCTCCTTCATTAAATTTATTCCTAAGCATTGTATTTTTTTTGTAGGTACAATAAATAGAATTATTTTCTTGATTTCTTTTTCAGATAGTTCATTGTTAGTGTATAGAAATAATACTGATTTGGCCGGGCGTGGTGGCTCACGCCTCTAATCCCAGCACTTTGAGAGACCGAGGCAGATGGATCACGAGGTCAGGAGTTCAAGACTAGCCTGGCCAAGATGGTGAAACCCCATCTCTACTAAAAATACAAAAATCAGCCGGCTGTGGTGGTGGGCACCTGTAATCCCAGCTACTCGGGAGGCTGAGGCGGGAGAATCACTTGAACCCAGGAGGCGGAGGTTGCCGTGAGCCAAGATCATGCCCCTGCATTCTAGCCTGGGTGACAGAGCAAGACTGCGTCTCAAAAAAAAAAAAAAAGATACTGATATTCATGTGCTGATTTTGTATATTGCAACTTTACTGAATTTGTTTGTTAGTATACAGTTTTTTGATGGAGTCTTTAGGGTTTTATGTATATAAGATTATATCATCTGCAAAAAGAGAAAACTTCCTTTCTGATTTGGATCCTTCTATTTCTTTCTCTTGCCTAAATACTCTGGCTAGGACTTCCAGAACTATGTTGACTATAAATAGTGAGAGTAGGCATGCTTGTTTTGTTCCTAATCTTAGAGGAAAAGCTTTCAACGTTTTGCCATTGAGTATAATATCTACATGTTTGTTATATATGGCCTTTATTTTATCTGGCACATTCCTTCTACACCTAATTTTGAGAGTTTTTATCAAGAAAGGATGCAGAATTTTATCAAATATTTTTTACGCATCTATTGAAATTATCATTTGGATTTTGTTTTTCATTCTGTTGAAGCAGTGTATTACATTTATGGATTTGCATGTGTTGAACCATCTTTGAATCTCAGGAATAAGTCCCACTTGATGATGGTGGTGAATTATCCTTTTAATGTGCTGCTGAATTCAGTGCGTTAGCATTTTGTTGAGTATTTTTGCATCCATGTTCATCAGGGATATTAGCCTGTCTTTTCTTGTAGTGTCCTTGTCTGGCCTTGGTAACAGGGTAATACTAGCCTCATAAGATGAGTTTGGAAGTATTTCCTTTACTTCAGTTTTTGAAAAAGTTCGAGAATTAATATTAGTTCTTTAAATGTGTGGTAGAATTTGGCAGTGAAGCCCTCAGGTCCTGGGCTTTTCTTTGTTGGGGAACTTTTTATTATTCAGTCAATCTCCTTGTTTGTTAGTGGGTTGTTTTTTTCTTTCAGATTTTCTGTTTCTTCATCATTTAGTCTTTGTAGGTTGCTTGTGTTGAGGAATTTATTCATTTCTTCTAAGTTATTCCATTTTTTGGGATATAATTGCTCACAGTGGTCTCATGACTCCTTGTATTTCTGAGGTATCAGTTGTAATGTCTCCCCTTTCATTTATTTATTTATTTGAGTCTTCTCTTTTTTTCTTAGTTTAACTAAAGGTTTGTTAATTTTGTTTATCTTTTTGGAAAACCAACTCTTAATTTTGTTGATCTTTTCTATTGTTTTTCTAGTCTATTTTATTTATTTTTGCCATCATCTTTATTATTTCATTTCTTTTACTGTCTTTGGCTTAGTTTGTTTTTTTCTTTTCCTAGTTCCTACAGGTCTAACATTAGATTGTTTACTTGAGATTATTATTGTGTTTATATAGGCATTTATTGCTGTAAATTTCCCTTTTAGAACTGCTTTAGCTGCATCTCATAAATTTTACTATATTGTGTTTCCACTTTCATTTGTCTTGAGATATTTTTATATTTTCCTTTTAATTTCTTCTTTGACCCATTGGTTTTTGGGGATCATGCTATTAAATTTTCACATATTTCTGAATTTTCTAAAATTCCTTTCATTGCTAATTTTTAATTTCATACTATTATGGTTGGAAAAGATATTGGACATAATTTCCATCTTCTTAGATTTGTTAAGACTTGTTTTGTGGCCAAACATATGATCTATTCTGGAGAATGTTCTGTGGGTGCTTGAGAAGAATGTGCATGTCTGTTAGGTCCATTTGATCTAAAATGTAGCTCAAGTCCTACATCTGAAAATTTATCTGGAACTAATGTTTGTCTACGGTTTGAGGAGAGGAGTTCAAGATTCATTTTTATCCATGTATCTGGTCTTCTAATAGACCCAGCAGAATTTTTTGAAAACCCTATCTTTTCTCTTTCTGTACTGTAGTATAACATTTGTCATATTTGGGAAATTAACTGGGGGTCTAATTCTAAATTCTCTATTGTCTTCCCTTGGCCTCTTTGTCTATCCTTGTACTAATATCAATCTATCTATAACAGGTCTTAATATTTGATAGAGTACATCTTCCATCTTTCCTCTTCTTCTTTAAAATTGCCTAGTCTGTTCTTGGCCCATTAAATTTTCACATAAATTTCATAAATCGTTTGGTGTTTGGATTGGAATTATATTCAATGTATAAATCAATTTGAGAACTGACATCACTATGATATTGGGTCTTTCAATTCATAAAAAAGTTATATTCCTTCATTTTTTATGTCATATTATTTCTTCCTTTTTATGTCTTATATGATTTCTCTCAATCAGTTTTATAGTTTTAGCATACAAGTCATGTACATCTGTCATTAGATTTATTTGTAGATACTTTATTTTTTATACTATCGTAAATGGTATTTTTAAAAAATCATTTCAACTTTCATTATAAATTAAGGGGTACATGCACAGGTTTGTTACATGGGTATCTTTTGTAATGCTGATACTTGGAATACAAATAATTCCAGCACTCAGGTAGTGAGCATAGTACCCAGTAGGTGGTTTTTCAGTCCATTTCCCCCTCCCTTCTTCCCCTGTCTAGTAGTCCCTAGTGTCTATTGCTCCCACCTTTATGTCTATGTGTATTCAGCATTTATTTGGTTTTCTTTTCTTGTGCTCATTTCCTTAGGATAATGGTCTCCAGTCCCATCCACAGTGCTGCAAAGAACATGACTTCATTCTTTTTTATGGGTGTGTACGTGGTGTATATGTACATTTTTAAAATCCAGTCCACTGTTGATGGGCTCCTAGGCTGATTACATGTCTTTGTTTTTTTTTTTTTTATTTTATTTTTTATTTTTTTTTTTTTTGAGACGGAGTCTCGCTCTGTCGCCCAGGCCGGACTGCGGACTGCAGTGGCGCAATCTCGGCTCACTGCAAGCTCCGCCTCCCGGGTTCACGCCATTCTCCTGCCTCAGCCTCCCGAGTAGCTGGGACTACAGGCGCCCGCCACCGCGCCCGGCTAATTTTTTGTATTTTTAGTAGAGACGGGGTTTCACCTTGTTAGCCAGGATGGTCTCGATCTCCTGACCTCATGATCCACCCGCCTCGGCCTCCCAAAGTGCTGGGATTACAGGCGTTGTTATTGTGAATAGTGCCATGATGAACATAAAACTGCATGTGTCTTTTAATAAAATGAATTCTTTTCCTTTGGGTAAATACCCAGTAGTAGGATTGCTGGATAAAATGGTAGTTCTGTTTTAAGTTATTTGAGAAATCTCCAAACTGCTTTCTACAGTGACTGAACTACTTTGCATTCCCACCAACAGTGTATAAGTGTTCTCTTTTCTCTGCAGCCTTGCCAGCATCTGTTATTTTTTTACTTTTAATGATTGCCATTCTGACTGGTGTGAGATGGCATCTCATTATGGTTTTGATTTGTGTTTCTTTGATGGCAAGTGATGCTGAGCCTTTTTTCTTATGTTTATTGTCCACTTGTATGTCTTCTTTTGAGAAGTGTTTGTTCATGTCCTTTGCCCATTTTAAAATTGGATTTTTTTTTTTTTTGCTTTTTTATTTGTTTAAGCTCTTTTTAGATTCTGGATATTAGGCCTTTGTCAAATGCATAGTTTGCAAATATTTTCTCCCATTCTGTAGGCTGTCCATTTACTCTGTTGGTAATTTCTTTTGCTGTCAGAGGCTGTTTAGTTTAGCTAGACTCTACAGCTAAAGTCATTCATCAGTTGCAGGAGTGTTTTGGCAAATTATTTAGGGTTCTGTATGTATAGAATCATATTGTCAACAAAGGGAGATAGTTTAACTTCTTTTTCTATTTGGATGTCTTTTTTTTTTTTTCTTGCCTGGTTGCTCTGGCTAGGACTTACAGTACTATGTTGAGAAGGAGTGGTGAGAGTGGTCATCCTTGTCTTATTTCAATTCTCAAGGGCAATGCTTCCAGCTTTGTCCATGTAGTATGATGTAGGCTGTGCGTTTGTCATAGACGGCTTTTATTATTTTGAGATGTGTTCCTTCAATGTCTAGATTGTTTAAGGTTTTTATCATGAAGGGATGTTGCATTTTATTGAAAACTTTTTCCGGCCGGGCGCGGTGGCTCACGCCTGTAATCCCAGCACTTTGGGAGGCCGAGGCGGGCAGATCACGAGGTCAGGAGATCGAGACCATCCTGGCTAACATGGTGAAACCCCGTCTCTACTAAAAATACAAAAAAATTAGCCGGGCATGGTAGTGGGTGCCTGTAGTCCCAGCTACTCGGGAGGCTGAGGCAGGAGAATGGCGTGAGCCTGGGAGGCGGAGCTTGCAGTGAGCCGAGATTGCACCACTGCACTCCAGCTTGGGTGAGAGCGAGACTCTGTCTCAAAAAAAAAAAAAAAAAAAGAAAAGAAAAGAAAACTTTTTCTATATCTATTGAGATGATCGTATGGTTTTTGTTTTTAGTTTTGTTTATGTAGTGAATAACACTTATTGATTTTTGTATGTTGAACCTTGCATCTCAGAAACAAAGCCTACTTAATCATGGTGCATTAACTTTTTGATATGCTGCTGGGTTCAACTGGCTAGTAGTTATTATTATTTTCATTATTATGAAATAAAATTAACTATTTTGAATAAAACCTAAATAAAATTAATTATTATGAATAAAATTAATTTATACATGTAAAGTATTTAGAACAGTGTCCAGCACAAACTCAGCATTCAGTAGGTATAATTATTTTTATATTAGAATTCAACAAAGTAGAAATGTTTGTTCTAAGTCTCTAATGTTAATAGCAAATGGAATATCCTTTTCATGATTTTTTAAAAATAAAGCAAACACTCTATCCCCAATGCTTTCTGCTGCATATACGTTTATTTCTTTAGATTCAGGTCACTTTGTCCTTGCTTAGTCTTGATCTCTGCTGTATCCTGTCACTAGAGAAGGCAAGCTTCTAGGTAAACATACAGAGAAACTAAGTGTGTAGGCAAAAATGGCTTCTTTCGGTTATGAGGGTTGAGGACATCGATCAGTGACCTATAAATAAATGTTGATAAAAAGGAAGTCTCCATATTTTGTTTACCAACCTCAGGGCACAGTAGGAACCAGATAGTAAAATGGAGGCAAGTGCCCTGTGTTAAATGAACTGAATGAACCCTTCTCTCTTCTCAACTTCAGCTTTTGCTCTGTGTCTTCCTGGCTGCTTAGGTTCTCTGGTACCATGTGAATCCTTCTTTATACACCAAGGGGCTCTGTTAGGGCTGGAGGTGTCCTTTCTTTCACTATGACTCCTCCATCAAAAGCAAACATAGTAAGATATCAAGTTGGCAAAGCTTCACCTTCAACCACCACTTTAAAAGTTAGCAAATTGATTCACAGATGTGATCTTTGCCAAGTCACTCAGAAGTAGATGGGAACAGAGATGAGGTACTTAGGGAGGGACCCAAAGGCCTTTAATATTGATCAAAAGGGTTGCCCAACAGACAGAGACTCCCAGTGTGAAGTGCCCAAGACTCAGGAATGGGGTGGAGAGTGTCGTGACAGGCTTTGTGGCCATTAAGAAGAAAGAACTGCTTCTCTGAAGCAAAACAAAGGGAGTTGGCTCAGAGTGATGCTGGGTGCACAGATCATGGGACTGTTTGGGGCATGACCTCAGTGCCTCCTGTGTGACTATCTCATATCAGGTTAGTGGGAGTCCGAAGGGTGAAACTGAGGTCAATCCATGTTTGCCTTGCACTTGTTTGTCCTGTTTGGGCTCCTGTCCATCTCCTACAGCCATAGGTGGTCTCCTCTGCAGAAAGTAAGGAGCGGGAGTAGAAAGGGACAGGTTTTATCTCAGTCAGGATTACTCTGTATAGCCTGTGTGTGCTGTGGAGGTAAGGAAGGTAAGGGAAGATGACTCAATAACTCATTTGCTTATGTGTACATATTTGCAGGGCACTGGGCTAGGTACTGGATATAACAATAACAATAACAAAATAATGACTATATGTGTCAGGACTGTGTCAAGTACCTTCCTTGATGAGTTTATTTAAATTTCACAACAATCTTATAAGGTAGGTGCATTATTCACATTATACAACTGAGAAATTTGAGGTTTGGAGAGGTCAAGTAACCAGCCCAAAGTCACACACCTGGCGAGCACAGAAATAGAATTGAAATCCAACTTTGTCTCTGTGCTTTCAACCATCGTAAATATTTGGGTAAATTTCAACATTCAAGAGGTTCAAAGTCTAGTGGGAAAAACAGACAAACATGTGAGAGGTGTGGTAATTGCTAAAGGGTTGATCAGTTTTAGCCACAGTACAGCAATTGGCATAGCATGAAAATTATCCTCTGAAGCTTTGAATTATAATTAAGTCCCTTTTATATCCTCTAAAGCAAGGTTTTTAAACCTTGGGACTATTGACATTTTAGGACAGATAATTATTGTGGGGGGCTAGCCAGTGCATTGTGGAATGTTTAGCAGAATCTGCTTATTAGGTGCAAGTGGCACTGGACCCCAGTAGTTAGTGATAACCAAAAATGTCTCCAGACATTGCCAAAGGTCAGCAGGGGGCCAAAATAGCCCTGAGTTGAAAACCACCACTTTGCAAGAATGAAACAACTTTAAAAGGCAAGAATTATATCTTAATTATCATTTCATTCCTTCACCTTGCACCCCAACATACACATATGTATAGAACACTCCACCCAACAGCAGTAAAGTACACATTCTTTATAAACACCCTTAGAACATTCTCCAGGATAGACCATATTCTACACCATTTAAAAGTCTCAACAAATGTAAAAGAATCAAAATTATTAGATGTATGCTCTCTGACCCTAATGAAACTAAACTAAAACCCAGCAATCGAAAGAAATATTGGAAATCTCCAACTATTCAGAAGTTAACACATTTCAAAACACCCTATAGGTATAAGAAGAAGTCACAAATGAAATTTAAAAGTATGTTGAGCTAAAAGAAAATGTAAACACAGTGTAACAAAATTTATGGATTGCAGCTAAAGCAATGCTTAAGATATGTTTTTAACTTTAAATATATATAGTCTAAACAAAAAAGTTCAAATATGAATAATCTAAGATTGTATCCCCATACACAAAAGAAAGGAAATAAAATCAGGTATGTTGAAGAAAGGAAAAATAAAGATTAGAGTAAAAATCAATGAACTAGAAAAAAAATGGGAAAAAAAATTGGTCACACCAAAAGTTGATTCTTTGTAAAAATCAGCAAAATTAATAAACATTAACCAGATTTACTAAGAAAAAAAGAGAGAAGACACAAATTATTAAGGTCTAGTATAAAATCATTACACTACAGTCACTACAGAATCTACAGAAATTAAGATATTATGAGAAATATTATGAAGAGCTTCATGGCATTAAATTGGGCAACACAGAAGAAACGAACACGTTTCTAGAAAGACATAAATTATCAAAACTGACTCAAGAAGAAATACTAAATCTAAGTAGATAATATAACGTAATAAAATTTAAAATATTTCTTCCACACACAAAAATACTCAGGACCAGAGTGATGACTTTACTGGTGAATTCAATCAAACATTTAAGGTCAAGATAATACCAGTCCTACTCAAACTATCAGAAAGTAGAGGAATAAAAAGCATTTAGCAACTTATTTTATGGGGCCATTATTACCCTGATACTGAAGTCAGACAAATAAATTATAAGGAAAAAAAATTGCAAACCAATATCTTTCACAAATGTAATCATTATGTAAACAAAATATTGGCAAATTTTATCTACAACATATTAAAAGAATTATCATGACAAAGTGGATTTTATCCCAGAATGTAAAGTCTATTTAAAATCCAAAATTCAATGAGTATAGTACACCATATTAATAGAATAAAGGGTAAAAATTATATGATCATTTCAATAGACTCAGAAAAGCATTCGACAAAATCCAACACTTATTCATAATAAAAATCTCAGCAAGCTGGAAATAGTTTACAAAATCCTACAGCTAACATGATGTTTAATGGTGAAAGACTGAATTCATTTCTCCTAAAATTTGGATTAAGGAAAGGATATTCACCCTTACCACTTCTTTTCAGCATTGTACTGAAGTTTCCATCCAGTGCAGTAAGTCAAGAAAAAGGAATTAAAGTCATATAGATCAGACAGGAAGAAGTAAGATGACCTTTATTTGAAGACAGGTGGCTTTGTATTAGAAAAAAAAACTATTAAAACAAGTAAACAAATTGAGCAAGGTCACAGGATACAAACTCAAGATACACAACTAATTGTCTAATTGTCTTTTTATATTATTAGCAATGAACAATCCAAAAATAAGATTAAGAAAATAATTTAATTAATAATGGTATCAAAAAAGAACAAAATACTTAGGAATAAATTAACATAAATAGTACAACATAATACTCAAACCAACAAAATATTCCTCAGAGAAATTAGAGATCCAAATAAATTGAAAGCCACACCCTCCTCATAGCTTGAAGGACTCAGTATTTTTAAAATAGTAATTCCCTTCAAATTGATTTGTAAACTCAACACAAATTTTATAAAATTCCTTCAGATCTATTTGTATAAATTAACAAGCTAATCCAAAATTAATATGAAAATGCAAAGGACATAGAAGAGAATAAACAATTTTGAAAGAGAAAGACTAAGTTGGGGAATTTATACTACTTAACTTCAAAATTAAACCTTCAAGAATCAAAACAGTGTAGTGCTGGCATAAGTATAGACATACAGCTCAGTAAAACAGAGTAGGGTATCCAGAAGCAAACCCGTGTATTTATGATCCATTGATTTTCAACAAAGATGCCAAGGTAATTCAATGGATGAGAAAATAGTCTTTTTCTAAAAATGAAGCTGGAATAATTGGATATCCATATGTAGCAAAATCAACTTAGATGCTAACTTACTCTGCACATAAAATAGCAATTAAAAATGAATCATAGATCTAAATGTAAGCACTGAAAGTATAACATTTCTAGACGAAAACATAGGGAAAAAAATCTTTGTGACTTTGGGTTAGGCAAAGAGTTCTTAGATACAGCATGAAAACCACAATCTATAAAAGGAAAAACATTTCTAAATTTGACTTCATCAGAATTTTTAAATGTTTGCATTCTGAAAATACCATTAAGAATGTGAAAAGACACACCACAGACTGGGAGAAAATGTAATAAATCATTTACCTTATAATGAACATCTATTTGAAGTATGTAAAGAACTTTTTCACTCTGTAAGAAGACAACCTAATTGAGAACTTCCAATAAATTTGAAACAGAAACCTCACCAAAGATACATAGAATACAAAAAGCTCAAAAAAAGATGCTGAACATCATTAGTTATTACAGAAATACAACTTAACACCACACTGAGATACCACTATATACTGACTAGCATGGGATTTTTTTTTAAAAAAAAGACATTTTTGCATTTCTGTAGAAAAAGCTTGACTCAAAAATCAGTTGATAAGGTACAGATTCCTGTCTTTGAATCTGTCACTAAAAGACAGATTCCTGTGCCTCACTCCAGAATTCATGAATCAGATATTTCACTGATTCATAATCTCTGGTGGATGCTTAGGAGTAATACCAGAATTTACATTTCAAATGAGTCCCTTGGCATTTTAAATAAACATTACATTCAACAACTATTAATGTAGGTCTTTCTTTCGCCATTGTGATATGAGAAAATCAAACTAGAATTATTTGTAATATTTTTATCTCTATAATTCTATGCTTTTTTCATCCTATATTTTTCCCTGTCTCTTTCAAAGCCCCTAATTTTCCCTGATCAGATTTTTAAAATTTTATGCATTTTCTAATAAAAGGATAGGGCCTCCTTGCAATGGATTCCTCCCTCCCAGTGAAAGGCCTACATTCTAATTATTGATAATACATGAGTTCATCCAGATGTGTTTTCAGCGTTTCTAGATGTCTCCTTTCATCCACCATCAATCAGTGCAGGAGGGTGGGCTTTGTGCTTGGCAGCCAAAGCCGATGAGAGTGAGATGCTAAGGAACCAGACCAAGGATTCAGATGGTGCTGCTACACTGCTCCCAGTGGATTTCATACTCTGGGTCCATGAATCCTGCCTTGACTACAATTCAAAGGGGCCTAGTGTAGGGGTTGAGAGTGTGGCCTCTGGAGTCCAGTACCTGAGTTCAAGTCCTGGCTCTTCCACTTAGTGCCTCAGACACAGTCTGACTTCTCTATTCCTATTCCTCACCTGTAAAATGCAGACAAGCGTATTCCTGACTCACAGGTCCTTACAAGGACCAGATGGTTAATATTTGTAAAGTGCTTGAAAGAGTACCTGGCATATAGTAGGGCCTGTGTAACTGGTTTGTTAAATAAATTGACCTGTTTGGGTTGATTTCAGGTATTAATTTCCTGTGGCACAGTTCTGAGACATCTGAGCAGTGCTTGCGATCATGTGTGAGGTACAGATGTTTGCTTTTGGGTGTCAGCATTTGGGGATGACAACACAGCCAGATGGGCATCTTGGAAATTGTGTTCCAAGAAGACCTAGAGTTCCATTGTGTGTGTGTGTGTGTGTGTGTGTGTGTGTGTGTGTGTGTGTGTGTGTGTGTGTGTTTTGAAGTGAAAAGGACAGATAGTAAACAACTAAGACTAATGAACAAGATACTCTCAGATAGTAGTATTATGAAATAAATAAAATGGGGTGATGTGATAGCAAGACACTGTGGTCTTGTTAAAGATGATCCCCCTGGGCTGCCTCTGTCTCATCCCTCCCCAGTCGCACCCAACCCCAGCCTACTCCCTGCCCAAGATGGGGCAGCCAGGGCCAAACAGTCGTACATGTGTAGCCCACATCACCACACTTGATTTGCTTCATTCCCAAGGGTCAAATAGGCCAATTTCCCACATCCTGTGCTTCCCTCTATTTAAAAGCCCTGAATGACTATTCCAGTGACACTCCTTTGAAAAATTTTCCATGAACTTCGGGCTAAAACCTTCCTTTATTTAATTTCACCTTAATTGCATCAATTAGGCTCCTTTCATGTTTGCTCAACAAACTCTTTTGTTTCTTTCACTCAGCTCTGAGCAACAGCTGCCAAGTGGAGTCTTTGTTCTGAGGCCTTTTTTTAATGGTCTTCACACCAATCTTGTTTGTTTTCCTCAGTGGCAGCTCTGAACAAACCTGAGAAGGTGTTGCCATTAAGCCACAGAGGGCAAGCTTAGTTGCCAGCTGCCATTTACCCCTCATCCAGTTCCCGGAATGGAAAATGAGGCCTTTCTTCTCTCATTTTGAAGGGAACATGTTTGGTTTGGTTGTGTTGGGAGAGGTGTCAGAGCCCTCAGATAACTGAATGCTCCTCAGAGTCTCACTTATGACACCCCTTCTCCCATCCCCAGTCTTCAGTCCCTCAAGTCACTTTTGCTCTTTCAAGCTATAGAGATTTCATGGCTACCTCCCTGCCTGTAGTCTTCTCCCACTTCCTCCATTCTCACAGCTGGCAGAGAAAGATCATTCTAAAATGGATCCCATCAGACCACTCACATGCTAAACTCTTCCATGGCTTCTCACAGAATTCAGGGTACCTTGCTCACTCCTTAGCTTGCTGCTCCAAGTTCTTCAGGCTTGACTCTTTAGTTTCAAGTTCCTCAACCCCTGCAACCCACATGAGGAAGCTTTCCTCCAAGATGGCTGCAATCAAATTTCCTCCCTCCTTCTGTAGGCAAGCCATTCCCCTACTAAGGTAAAGGGCTCTTACTCCCCTCCCCTTGGATCTGGGTTGGCTGCAGTGACTTGCTTGATCATAAGAATGCAGGAGTATGTTCTGGAACTTCCAAAGCTAGGTTACAAAAGGCTTCCTAGCTTTTTTTTTTTTTTTTTTTTTTTTTTTGAGATCGAGTGTCACTCTGTCACCCAGACTGGAGTGCAATGGCGTGGTCTTGGCTCACTGCAACCTCTGCCTCCGGGGTTCAAACGATTCTCCTGCCTCAGCTTCCAGAGTAGCTGGGACTACAGGCAGGTGCCACCACACCCGGCTAATTTTTGTATTTTTAGTAGAGATGGGGTTTCAGTATGTTGGCCAGGCTGGTCTTGAACTCCTGACCTCGTGATCTGCCCACCTCAGCCTCCCAAAGTGCTGGGATTACAGGCATGAGCCACCGTGCCCCACTGGCTTTGTAGCTTTTACCTGGGCTTCTTGAAATACTCACTCTAAGATTATTTACTCTGGGGGAAACTAGCTACCCTGAGACTGCCATGTCATGAGAAGCCACATGGAGGAGCCCTGGATAATGAGATAATGAAATATGTAGAGAGGAAGGGAAGCCAAGAAACACCAAGGCACCAGAAATGTCAGTGAAAAAAAATCTTGAAAGTGAATCTTCAGCCCCAGTGGCCGTAGGTAATGCCAAGTAAACGAGAGATGAACCATCCAGCTGAGCATTTCTGCATTACTTACCCACAAAATTACAAACAAAACTAAATGGTTGTTTTGGGGTAGTTTGTTATACAGCAATAGACAACCAGGAAGTCACTTCCTCAGACAATTCTTTCAGACCTTGAAGTCCACCCTAAGCTATCATGCATATTCCCATGCCATCGTCCTTGCACCTGCTACTGTCTCTATCTGAAATTACCTTTCCATTCTCTGCATGGCCAACTCTTGCTTTTTCTTTGGAAACCTAAGTACTACTTTCTTTGGCAAGACTCTTTTTTTAATCTTTTCAGTTTGTGTAGGACAGGTCCCCTCTAACATTCTTTCAACAAATATATATTAAGCTTCTACTATGAGCCAGACACTGAAGCTTCAACAGTGAAGCATATTTCCATGTTGCTCTATGGTTCCCTGTTATATCAAAGACTGCATTCTGTTTGAAATGGCTTCTACCTTTATCTCACAACAAGCTCGCCGAAGGCTGAGGCTGTATGCTTCTCTATGTATATCCTGGGCATCTGGCGTAGTGCTAGTACATAGTAGGTGCTCAATAGATTCCAACTAAATTAACAAATGAGTTGTGATCTTCAGCTGGTGTTTATATGAACACTTGAGTTTAGGTTTGGCTGATTTCTGCCAAGTCCAGCTTCCTGAAGTGGAAGCATTGTCAAAACCCTGAAATGATAGTGGTGGGAATGAAGTCTAATAGCAAACTTTCTGGTTTGGGTACCCTTCAAATGCAAATGCACCAACACTAAGAACCCAGAGTTGGAAACCCTTTAGAATGAGCACTGGGACACACTTGTCCTGAAATGCACAAGAAAATCTTCTACTTTGATGGTGAGAGGGAAGATCAGCAGATGCAGCATTCACATCAGTCTGCACTACATAGGTATATGAACCTCTGAACTTAGTCCCTCTGTCTCTTCTGCCCTGGGGGTAGCAAACATATAGGCAGATGGGAGGAGGCCAAACTCCAAAGGCTTTCTGTTTTGTTTTGAATATACCAAGCAATCTGAGAAAGAGAACTTGCTCTTAAAATGAAAGTAATGTGTGCTTGCTTGGGGCTGGATACAAAAGAAAGATTTATCAATGTTAAAAAACTCCATCTGTTTTTAGGAAGCTGCCTTGTGGTTACCACTTCTTGTGCCTATTATTTCATGCTAAGGAGCCACACAGACCGTGTGGCAGTTTTTTGCCATTATGGCACAGAGAGAGCAAAAGCCCAGAGCCCGGAGAAACAACAAGCAGTTTGTCTATTATCTCAACCAGGGCTGAATTTACCTCCTTCACTCCAGGACCTCTGGCAATGACCAGAGACATTTTCAGATATCATGTTGGGGTAGGGGTGGGGGTGGGGGACTACTGCCTCTAGTGGATAAAAGTCAGGGATACTGCTAAACCTCCTACAATGCACAGGACTGCCCCCATTACAAAGAATCATCCAGCTCAACGTGTTAGTAGGGCCAAGATTGAGAAACCCTGGCTTAAGGCACTGGTTTCAAGCTTCAGTGTACATCAGAATCACTTAGAAGGCTTTTTAAGACACAGGTTGCTGGTTTGGGAGCCATGGAGTAGGGCACAGGAATTTGCATTTTTAACAAATTCTCAGGTGATTCGGATGCCGCTCCTGGGACAAACGTTTGAGAATCAATTGTCTAGAGTTTCCCTTCCCTAAGTAGTAGAAGCTGAGTGTGGGTACCACTTGCTGGGGCATGAAGGGAAGGTCTAGGAAGGGGGTCTCCATATAGGCCTTTTGGGGGTCCTCTCTGGCCTCTCAACAGGAATCTTTCCTTTGGGTCAGTGAAATTCATACTAATTCAGTGTAAACACCTACTCTGGGTTGGAACCTGAAAAGCAAAACAAAAACATTCATGAAAGAAAAAGCAGCCTGAACCAGGAAGGGAAATGAGCTGCAACTGGGGTCAATTTTTTGGCACATTCCACGGGACTCACAGAGCAGGTAACAATAGCTCCAATTCTCCAGAGGGGCAGCCAGATCAACAAAAGTTCAATTAGTAAGTCTTGGCAAATAAAGGCAACAAACAGTTTGGCAATAATAAATTAAGTCCATGCTTGGCTTTCACCCAGGCTCGTTACTGTCTCCCTGCCAGGCTTTGTGAAAGAGTGGCTTTGAAGGCTCCTGAAAAGGGTTCATTTCTTGAACAATTCTTGCTTTTGTTTGCTGCCATTCTCTTCTTTTCTTTGCTCCTTTCTTCACTTATCATGAAGGGCACTCACAGGAGCATTCGGCTTCTGTCCTCCCAAGAGTATGACGTTCACTCCTCTTCTTCCCAAGAAGGTACAAGGAGCCCACTGTCAATTCTGCTGTCACCCATAGAGGACATCCAGGGATGAGAACTAAGGGACTGCAGATTCAAAGAGATGAGCTTTCTAGTTTAAAAATTCAATTTCCAAGAAAACAGAGAACAAAGGCTACTGACGCTTAGAGACACTGCTTCCATTTTGAACATGTTTCTAAGGATAAGGAAATGAAATCATTTGGTGAACATGCCAAGCACCTTGAAGCCTTGCAAATTATAGTGTGGAGTCCACATTCTCCAAGTCCTCTGTGTCCCCTAAGATGTGGATATTAGCATTAATGATAATGATAATTATCTAATATTTACCGAGTTTTCCTGTGTGTCAGATATACTTCTAAGCATTCTACATCTGTTCTTTTATCTATTCTTTTTAGGAAAGCCTGCAGGATTGATATTTCATTATTCCCGTTTTGTAGTTGAGCAAATAGAGGCAAAGAAAAATTAAGTGTCTGAAATGGGGTCATTTTATTTTCTTTATGAAACAGTGCAGCCTGATTCTTGCCAATGGTGTAATCATTCTGTGCTATGTGGATATTCTCCAACTTGTAGAGTGTCCTGTAGCAGTGGTGTACTCTCAAGCAGATGTCTCTACTTTAGGCAAACATGTTGTGAGATACCAACTCTTACCACCATTGAGTGAGGTCCTGCTGGCAGTTAGTGTTTTAACTGTGCTTTGGCTGCTACCACTGATGATTTGGGGACAAGGAGTAATGCTTGGGTTGTACTTAGGCAGCACTGAATTCACAGAGAGAACATAAAAGGGAAAAGAGACCTGCCAACAACAACAAAATGAAATGGCAGATCTAGTTTAATATGTTGGGAAATCCAGTCCCATCGGGTGATTTTAGGTTTGATTTTACTGATCATCAAGGTCACCCCTTACTTGCATTCCCAGTTTCCCAGTGGAGGCAGTGGAGGCTAAGAGGATGAACCTATCCAAGAATACACAGTAAATGGTAGAAGTGAGACTAGAACTTGGGACCACTGACTTTCGTTCCTGTGTTATTTTTATTATTCCACTCAGACTCTCCCATTGGTACATCAGTGGTATGAGCCAGATGGAATTTCTGGACACAGAGGATTTAGTAAAATTCACAGAATCACAGAGTCTTACTGTCTGGAGAGATCTTGCCTGGTTTAATTGCCTCCCTTCTCGAAAGATGCAGTGAGAGCCACAGGGACATTACAGGCATTTCTCTGTTTCTGCATTGAGAGCTGTGAGCTCCACACCCCTGGGGCTGAGGAGCATTGACTAGCCCAGTCAACAGATGGTGTGGGTCCCCTTGTGCGCTAGGCACTACCATGTGTTACGGGGTCAAGTAAAATGATGCCTTTTAGACAATGTTCCTATAAGAGCCTAGGATCAGAGACCATGTCCCCAGCTTCCACAGAATATCGAGAGAGAAGCAGGAAATCAATATGGGGAAAGAAAGTTGAAGTTGGGTTGCAGGGGTTATAAATGCCAGGCCAGACAATCTTAACTTTACTCTGAAGACAAGGAGGGACCACTAGAACTTCTTAAGTCGATCTTTGATATGGATAGAGTTTTGCTTTGGGAAAAGGAAGATGGTGTGATGCCCAGACTTGTGGGCCGATATCAGATGGCAGAAATGGCAGCTAGATTACTGTAGCCATCCAGACAAAAACTAATGTGGTGACTCAGCAATTTTGCATGTAGGATGTATCAAATAGAAATGAAAACCTAGGTCCATGTAAAGGCTGTACATAAATGTTCATTATAGTTTTACTCATGATAGTCAAAACAGAAACAACTCAAATAAATGTCCATCATTTGGAGAATGGATGAACAAATTATAATTTATTTCTACGATAGAATACTACTCATCAGTATTAAAAAAAGAATAATGGATGCGGGAAACCGCATGGAGGAATCTCACAGACATTATGCTCAGTGAAAGACGCTGAACAGAAAAGAATGCATGCTGTATTATTCCATTTATATGAACTTCGGGAACAGCCAATCTAATCTAAGATGAAAAATCAGAACAGCAGTTGCCCTGGGGGACAGGAGTGATTGGCTGGGCAGGGACACAAAGAAACTGGGAGATAAAAATATTCTAGATCATGATAGAAGCATGATTAAATAGACGCCTCCATTTGTCAAATTTGCACACAAAGATTTGTGCTGTGTAAATTCTGTATAAATTTTATCTTACTTAGAAAATAACTGTAGAATAATAAAAATAATTGAGCCAGGAATACAGAATGGCATAATATTGATAATTATAAAAACTGAGTGATAGGCACATGGAGGTTCATTATACTATCCTGTTTAGTTTGTATATGCTTAACATTTTCCATAATAAAGAATTAAAATAAGTATTGGGCCTGAACCAGGGCAGTGGGAAAGGAGAAGCCAGGACAGACGAAAGCACTGTGGGTATATTCTTGAAGTATCTTGACAACTACTTGGCTGTAGGGGGTGGTTTTCAAAGGCAAATGTTAACAATGACATAGAGTTTCAGTGATGAAGCCTTTAGCAAAGAATAAAAGAGGTTTTAGAGGGGTTGGAGGAGGTTGAATGTGAGGCTATACTGATTCTGAAATGCTGCTGGAATGAAAGCAAGGAAGCACTCAGCAGGAAG
Source organism: Homo sapiens (assembly GCF_000001405.40). Taxonomy (NCBI): domain Eukaryota; kingdom Metazoa; phylum Chordata; class Mammalia; order Primates; family Hominidae; genus Homo; species Homo sapiens. The sequence continues at coordinate 34,795,846 of NC_000011.10, forward strand.
ACAGAAAGGAAGGAGGATGACATCCTACCTTGAGTGTCATCCTCCTTCCTGTCATCCTGAGTGCAAGATCAAGGGGGAAACTTCAATGATGGCAATAAATTTTTGCACAGGCTTGTACATCACTAAGCTAACCACAAGTCCCCAGAGTTATCTACATTGGATGCTTACAATGAGCCAAGCCTTGTTTCCCACTGGGGCTACAGCCTAATGGGAGAGACAGGAACATCAATACAAATGCAACATAATGTGGTTAGTGTGAAGATAAATGTATGCAAATCATGTTACCAGGGCCCAGAAAGAAAGCTCTTGACCCAGCCTCGCTGAGAGAGAAAGGAGAAACCAAAACCAAGCTATCCTTGAAGAAGACCCCTGAGCTTAGATGGAAACCATGGCCAGCTGGTGCTTGTGGAGTTTAGAGACTTCCTGGATGCCTGGGAAAACCTCATGCTGTGATCCTTATACTTACCACTTGAGCTAGAATTCCCATAATTGTAGACTTCTGGAGATGAAATGAACCCTGAATTAGATTCACAGAACATTTATTGGGCACCTACTATGTCAAAGATATTGTGCTAGCAATACAGTTTGACTGTGTCCCCACCCAAATCTCATTTTGAATTGTAGTTCCCATAATTTCCATGTGTCATAGGAGGTACCCAGAGGGAGATAATTTAATCATGGGGGTGGTTACTCTCATGCTGTTTTCATATTAGTGAGTAAGTTCTCACAAGATCCAATGATTTTTAGTTTTTGTTTTGTTTTGTTTTGTTTTTGAGATGGAGTCTTGCTCTGCTGCCCAGGCTGAAGTGCAGTGGTGGGATCTCAGCTCACTGCAAGCTCCGCCTCCCAGGTTCATGCCATTCTCCTGCCTCAGCCTCCCCAGTAGCTGGGACTACAGGCACCTGCCACCATGCCAGGTTAATTTTTCGTATTTTTAATAGAGACAGGGTTTTACTGTGTTAACCAGGATGGTCTCAATCTCCTGACCTTGTCATCCACCTGCCTTGGCCTCCCAAAGTGCTGGGATTACAGGCATGAGCCACTGCACCTGGCCAATCCAATGGTTTTATAAAGGGCATTTCCCCCTTTGCTCAACACTTCTCCTTTCTGCCATCATGGGGAAAGTTTGGAACTTCCTAGAGACTTGTTGAATAGCATTGTCCAAAATGCTGATAGTGATATGGACAATAAAGTCCAGGCTGAGGTGGTCTCAGATGGAGATGAGAAACTTGTTGGGACAGGAGCAAAGGTGACTCTTGTTATGTTTTAGCAAAGAGACTGGAAGCATTTTGCCCCTGCCCTGGAGATCTGTGAAACTTTGGACTTGAGAGAGATGATTTAGGGTATCTGGCAGAAGAAATTCTAAGCAGCAAAGCATTCAAGAGGTGATAGAGCATAAAAGTTTGGAAAATTTGCAGCCTGATGATGCAGTAGAAAACAAAAACCCATTTTCTGGAGAGAAATTCAAGCTGGCTGCAGAAATTTGCATAAGTAACTGCAGAAATTTGTATAAGCATAAATTTGAAAGACAATGGGGAAAAAGTCTTCTGGGCATGTCAGAATTCTTCATGGTAGCCCCTCCCATCACAGGCCCAGAGACCTAGTAGGAAAAAATGGTTTCCTGGGCCGGATCCAGGACCTACCTGCTGTGTGCTGCCTAGGGACTTGGTGCCTTGCACCCTAGCCACTCTAGCCATGGCTAAAAGGGGCCAAGATACAGCTCAGGCCATGGCTTCAGAAGATGCAAGCCCCATGCCTTGACAGCTTCCATGTGGTGTTGGTCCTGCAGGTGCACAGAAGATAATAATTGAGGTTTGGGAACCTCCACCTAGATTTCAGAGGATGTGTGGAAATGCCTGAATGTCCAGGCAGAGGTTTGCTGCAGAGGCAGAGCCCTCATGGACAACATCTACTAGGGCAGTGCAGAAGGGAAATGTGGGGTTGGAGCCCTTACAGACTCTGCCTAGTGGAGCTATGAGAAGAGGGCCACCATTCTCCAGACCCCAGAATGGTAGCTCCTCTGACAGCTTGCACTGTGTGCCTGGAAAAGCTGCAGACACTCAACAGCAGCCCATGAAAGAAGCTGGCTGGGGAGCTGTACCCTGCAAGGCCACAGGGGCAGAGCTACCCAAGGCCATGTGAATCCACCTCTTGCATCAGCAAGTCCTGGATATGAGACATGGAATCAAAGGAGATCATTTTGGAACTTTAAGGTTTAATGACTGCCCTACTGGATTTGCATGGGACCTGTAGTCTGTTTGTTTTGGCCAATTTCTCCCATTTGGAATGGTGCATTTACCCAATTCCTGTGCCCTCATTGTATCTAGGTAGTAACTAACTTGCTTTTGATTTTACAGGCTCATAGGTGGAAGGGACTTGCCTTGTCTCAGATGAAACTTTGGACTTGGACTTTTGAGTTAATACTGGAATGAGTGAAGACTTTAGGGGACTGTTGGAAGGGCATGATGGTATTTTGAAATGTGAGGACATGAGATTTGGGAGGTGCCAAGGGTGAAATGAATGATATGCAGCCTGATTCAAGATGAGATTTGGGTGGGGACACAGCCAACCCTCATCTTGAATTGTAGTTCTCATAATCCCCATGTGTGGTGGGAGGGACCTGGTGGGAGGAAATTTAATCATGGGGATGGTTACCCTCATTGTGTTCTCATGATAGTGAGTGAGTTCTCATGGTTTTATAAGGAGCTTTTTCCCCTTTGCTTGGCACTTCTCCTTGCTGCTGCCATGTGAACAAGGATGTGTTTGCTTCCCCTTCCACCATAATTGTGAGTTTCCTGAGGCCTCCCTAGCCATGCTGAACTGTGAATCAGTTAAACCTCTTTCCTTGATAAATTACTCAGTTATGAATATGTCTTTATTAGCAGTGTGAGAATGGACTAATACAGCTAGGTACTGTTGAGTGATTCAAAAGTGAGAAAAAAATACATTCCCTGCCTTTAAGGAGCTTCTACCTAATAGTGGAGACAGAGGCAGCTATACAACTCTATATCACAGAAGTTGATACATGAAAAAAGCAGTAACTTACTATACACATAAAAAATATAACACAAAGAAGGGAGATGTACAACTAGGAGATCATAGGACATCCCATTCATTTTACAGATAAGGAAAGTAAATTTCAGAGAATTAATGTCACCTGTTCAAGATTGCATAGCTATTCAATAATTTTGATTGATTTCTGAGAATACTGAGCTATTTGATCCTAACTCTTGCTTCCTGACCTGGGCTTCATCTCTATTTCTGTGGCAGCATTCCAACTCTTATGTATTTACTGTAGTTAACACTCACTCACCCACTGCACCTGCTTTTCTACTCCCCTTTGATATAATGAACACTGGCTACAAAGTACTCAGAGTGGATAGAAGTCATTGCTTCCCTGAGTATGAGCTTAGTGCAATATGTTATAAAATTCAATCCTGGACAAATAGCACTACTGACTTGCTCCCTTTGGAAGCCAGTCTTGACATCAATTAAGCCCTTTACACAATCTCTAATTTGTGATTAAATACATTTTAAAAATACAATTAGTTTTGGGCTGGAGCTACAGAGGCCTTTGATTCATAATTGGCTGATTGTTTCCAGAAAATTAACCAAGGGAGCAGTCATACTCAGTTGGCTCTGCAAGACCCATTGCAAATGCACACCCTAATTCCTGCCTCCTCCCAGGGTTAAAGAAATGTCTTCACAAGTGGGAACCTACCTACCTACCTGACTTCAGTTTTCTAAAATATAAATGTGATTATGTCACTCCCTAGCTCAAAATCTCTAGGGCTCCCCATTATCTTCTGGACAATGTCCCAACTTCTTGACTCCCTTAGAAGCTTTTCATGTACTGGCCTCTGCCTCACATCCAGCCTCATGGAGCCTTGCTCATTGTGTCCTAGTGGCCTTTCAGACCACCAAATCTCTGTAGCAAATCCCATTAGCAGTTTCACTAACAAACCTATATTCATTAATCTATTCTTTCACTAATTCATTCCATAAATACTTCATGGAACTTTATTAGGTGTCAGCCCCAGTGCTAGGCCCTTGGGATTAAGTGATGAGCTAGGGAGTCAAGGATCTTTAATTCTCAGAGGTAGACATTAATCAAATAATCACACATCTACATGGTTACAAATGTGCACATACAAAGAGCTGGCAAAAGGGAACAGTAAGTACAAAGGTCCTGGGAAGGAGAAGAGCCTGGCACAGTTGAGCAACTGACACAGACAGCATAGTAAAGGGGAAAATGGAATGAGTTGAATTTGGAGAAGTACCAAAGGACTAAATCATGTAGTACCTTGTAATCCATGGTAAAGAGTTAGATTGGTAGAAGGCAGGATTTTAAGAACAGAGAATGACACGATAATCTATGCAGTTAAAAGATTGCAGTGTGGGCTAGTGGGTGGAGATAGAATTAAAGGCAAGCAAACCTGGGAACTGAAAGACCTATTTGGAGATTACTATAAAACACCAGGCCAGTGAAGTGAGCAACCATCCTGGATTGCCTTCAATTGAGGGGTTCCCTGAAGGTGGAACTTGCAGTACTAAAACCTAGAAAGTCCCAGACATATCGGGATGTTAGTTATCCTCTAGGCATGACATCATGATGTCCTGAATTTTTAGATGACATTAAATGGAAGGATGGGGATGGTCTAGAGGTCAATGGCTTATTGATGGACTGAACAAAAGGGGCAGAGAAAAAGGAGAGTTCTTGACTTCTGGCTTTTGCAACCAGTTAGTAGGTCTTTCCATTGAGATAGATGATTTCCTATTTCTCTGTCTACCTCTGGGCTTTTTGAGAAGAAAGTAAGTCAACACAGAAGATGAGAGTGAAAGAAGACAGCTTCCCATTGTGTTATCACTTCTAGGACTTCAAGCAAATAATTGATGTCACACTAGGGCCAAAGACATGGTCAGCCAGGAAAACCTTGTGTGTTGTTTGAAAGGAGATCAAAGCAATTTATGAATTTTATGATGCTGTTCATAAAATCCCCATGTGGCACCAACTAAGAGATAGGCACAGAGATGAGCAAAGGGAACCCAGATTATCATCAATATTGCTGGTAGAGTCAAGGTCTTGCTGTGCTCACTGGATAACTAGAAGCAGATGAGAATGCATCTTCTTGCAAAGGGCTGCTTCCCTGTAAAGAAAGGGCTGTGTGCTGCAAGGAGCACAGACCTTGTATTCCAGTCCTGCCTCAGCCACTTACCTGTTGTGTGATCTTAGGCAAGATCCTGAGAGCCTTCATTTCCTAACCTGTAAAACTAGAGTAATAATTACTTACTTTGCAGGGTTCTGATGAAAACTAGAGAGACAATGTGTTCTTCTACATGATAGGCTTTCAATCATGCTACCTCACATTATCTTAACTTATATTGTTCTCAGTATGGTATTTAAGCTTTTTAATACACTGTAGGGGGAAAAGGCAAATCAATGTGTTTATTCTGACCCACTTTTAGGGAGACCTTCCCCAGGTTGCTTCCCAAATATGCAGAAGTCTTATAGAGTGGATGAAAGCTCAGTTCAGGGGACATACATACCACCTGTGTCTGAATATCAGCTCTGTCACTTGGTGGTATGATCTAGAACAGTACAACACTCCTCCATGCCTCACTATTGTCACTTATAAAAGAAGGATGATTTCCACTATATCTACCTTACAGGACTTCTGTGGATGTTAAATGAGATTATCCAAGCTAGGTGCTTAATGTGGTTCCTGGCACAAAGACAGAACTAAATAAATATTTTGACTATTTGCTCTTATTAGTAGTGGGAAAAGGTTGTCATGAGCTCTTCCCACTCTCCCATTCCCTTTCACTCATGACTAATATTATACATGTGTGTATCACAGGGACTCTCAATATACTTTATACAGAGATTGGGTTCCTAAGGTAGTGTATATGGTGAAAATTACAGGTATTCAAAATTTCCCTGGAAAATGCCTTCCAATCCCCCCCATGTCTATTCATGTCCTTATCCCACTTTTTGATGGTATTATTTATTTATTATTGCTGATTTGTTTGAGTTCCTTGTAAATTCTGCATATTAGTTCTTTGTCAGATGCATATATTATAAAGATTTTCTCCCATTCTGCGGATTGTCTGTTTTCTCTCCTGACTATTTCTTTTCCTGCGCAGAAGTGTTTTAGTTTAATTAAGTCCCATCTATTATCTTTGTTTTTGTTGTGTTTGCTTTTGGGTTCTTGGTCATGAAGTCTTTGCCTAAGCCAATGTCTAGAAGAGATTTTTCCAATCTTACCTTCTAGAAGTGTTATTGTTTCAGGTCTTAGATTTAAGTCTTTGATTCATATTGAGTTGATTTTCATATAAGGTAAGAGATGAGGATCCAGTTTTATTCTTCTACATGTGGCTTGCCAATTATCCCAGCACGATTTGTTGAATAGGTTGTCCTTTTCCCACTTCATGTTTTTGTTTGCTTTGTCAAAGATCAATTGACTTTAAGTATTTGCCTTCATTTGTGAATTCTCTAGTGTGTTCCATTGGTCTATGTGCCTATTTTATGCCAGTACCATGATGTTTTGATGACTATGGCCTTATAGTACAGCTTGAAGTTTGGTAATGTAAGGCCTCCAGATTTGTTCTTTCCAAAAAGCTCCTAGAACTGCTAAATGAATTTAGCAAAGTTTCAAGATAAAAAATTAATGTACATAAATCAGTAGCCCTGCTATACACTAACAGTGACCAATCTAAGAATCAAATGAAGAACTGCACCCTTTTTACAATAGCTGCAAAAAATTTAATACTTAGAAATATACTTAACCAAGGAGGTGAAAGACATCTACAAGGAAAACTACAAAACACTGCTGAAAAAAATCATGGATGCCACGAACAACTGGAAACACATCCCGTGCTCATGGATGGGTAGAATCAGTATTGTGAAAATGACCATACTGCCAAAATCAATCTATAAATTTAATGCAATTCCCATCAAAATACCACCATCATTCTTCACAGAACTAGAAAAAACAATCCTAAAATTCATATGGAACCAAAAAAGAGCCTGCATAGCCAAAGCAAGACTAAGCAAAAAGAACAAATGTGGAGGTTTTTTGGCTTTTAAATAATGGCCATTCTGACTGGTGTGAGCTGGTATCTCATTGTGGTTTTAATTTGCATTTCTTTAATGATTAGCAATGTTGAGCACTTTTTCATGTGTTTGTTGGCCACTTGTATGTCTTCTTTTGAGAAATGTCTGTTCATGTTGCCCAGTTTTTAATGGGGTTATTTATTTTTTCTTGTTCAGTTGAGTTTCTTATAGATTCTGAATATTAGTCCTTTGTCAGATGCATAGTTTGCAAATATTTTATCTCATTCTGTAGGTTGTTTACTGATTACTCCCTTTGCTGTGCAGAAGCTTTTCAATTAAGTCCCATTTGTCTATTTTTGTTTTGGTTGCATTTGCTCTTACTCATAATTTATTTGCTTAGGCCAATGTCCTACAAAATTTTTCCTAAGCTTTCTTCTAGGATTTTTATAGCTTCAAGTCTTACATTTAAGTCTTTAATCCATCTTGAGTTAACTTTTGTAGACAGTGTGAGATAGGAGTCTGGTTTTATTCTTCTGCATATGGCTAGCCAGTTATCCCAGAACCATTTATTGAATAGAGTGTCCTTTCTCCATTTTTTTTTTGTTGACTTTGTCAAATATCAGTTAATTGTAGGTATGTTGCTTTATTTCTGGGCTGTCTATTCTGTTCCATAGATCTATGTGTCTACTTTTGTATGAGTATCATGCTATTTCAGTTACTCTAGCCTTGTACTATAATTTAAAGTCAGGTAATATGATGCTTCCAGTTTTGTTTTTTCTGCTTAGGATTGCTTTGGCTATCTGAGCTCTTTTTTGGTTCTATATGAATTTTAGTATTGTTTTTCCTAATTATGTGAAAATTGCATTGGTAATTTGATAGGTATTGCATTGAATCTGTAGATTTCCTTGGGAAGTATGGTCATTTTAACATTAATTCTTCCAGTCCATGCTTATGAGATGTTTTTCCACTTGTGTCTATCATGTGTGATTTCTTTCATCAGTGTTATATAGTTCTCCTTGTAGATATCTTTTACCTCTTTGGTTAAACATATTCCTAGGTATTTTTTATGGCTATTGAAATGGGATTGAGTTATGGATTTTATTCTCAACTTGAACATTATTGATTCATAGAAGTGATACTGATTTTTGCACATTCATTTCATATCCTGCAACCTTACCGAGGTCATTTATCAAGTCTAGGATTCTTTTGGCAGCATCTTTAGGGTTTTCTAGAATAAAGAGCATGTCATTAATGAACAGGAATAATTTTACTTACTCTTTTCCAATTTGAATGACTTTTATTTCTTTCTCTTGCCTGATAGCTCTGGCTAAGACTTCCAGTAATATGTTGAATAGAAATGATGAAAGTAAGCATCTTTGTTTTATTGTAGCTCTTAGGGGGAATGCTCTCAACTTTTCTCCATTCAGTGTGGCATTGGCTGTGCATTAGTCATAGACAGCTCTTATTATTTTGAAGTAAGTTCCTTCAATGCCTAGTTTATTGAGGGTTTTGAACATGAAGGGATATTGAACTTTATTGAATGCCTTTTCTGCATCAATTGAAATGATTATGTGGTTTTTGTTTTTAGTTCTGTTTATATGATGAATCACATTTATTGATTTACCTATGTTGAACCAGCCTTGTGTCTCAGAGATAAAACTTATTTGATCATAGAGGATTAGTTTTTTAATGTGCTGCTGGATTCAGTTTGCTAGTATTTTGTTAAGAATTTTTGCAACTATGTTTGTCAGGGATATTGGTCTGTAACTTTGCTTTTGTTGTTGTGCTCTTGCCTAATTTTGCTATAGGGGGTGATAGTGGTTTCATAGAATGAGTTAGAGAGGAATCTTTATCCTTGATTTTTGGGAACAATTTTAGTAAGATTGCTGCCAGCTCTTTTTATATGTCTAGTAAAATTTGGCTATGAATCTGTCTGGTCCTGGGCTTGTTGTTGTTGTTGTCAGGAGATTTTAAATTACTGATTCAGTTTGACTACTCATTATTGATCTGTTCAGCATTTCTATTTATTCCTGGCTCAATCTTGGGTCATTGTATGTTTCTAGGAATTTATCACTTCCTATAGGTTTTTATAGTTTGTGTGCATAGAAATGCTCAGAGTAATCACTGATGATCTTTTGAATTTCTGTAGTATTAGTTGTAATGTTACCTTAATCATTTCTGGTTGTGCTTGTTAATAGCTTCTTTCTTTTTTCCTTGGTTAATCTTGCTAGTGGTCTATCAATTTTTTTATCCTTTCAAATAATCAACTTTTCATTTCATTGATCCTTTGTGTCTTTTTTTTGTCTCAATTCATTGAATTCTGCTCTGATCTTTGTCCTTTCTTTTCTTCTGCTAGTTTGGGGTTTGATTTGTTCTTGTTCATCTGATTCCTTGAGGCATGACATTAGGTTGTTAATTTGAGATCTTTTTATCTTTTTGATGTAGGCATTTAACACCATAAACTTGCCTATAAGCACTGCTTTTGCTGTATGCCATTACGGTCACAATTAAAAATAGAAATAAACAAAGAATCTATTCAACCATGTAAACACAAATAAAAAGCCATATCCATCATCATTTATTGGGTAATATGCATTGATTATAATTGATTATAATAAATCAGCATGTAATATATTCCAGACACAATGCTAAGTGCTTTACTTACATTTTACAGAAAAGGGTGTCGGGACAGAAAGTTTATATCATAATGTTTAGTTAGGGTTTTCCACAAACCTGAGACATTTCTGGTGCTTCACCTACGTTCCCTCACTTAATCCTCATGAGGGAAATATTGTATCAATTACATTTTCAAATGAAGACAACAAGGCTCAGAGGGGATCATCAATTAAGTCTGAAGAACTAGTTTAAAGAGAAGCCCACTTGAATCTCTAAACAAGGAGGCAGAACTAGTGATATTCTTAAAGAACACTTTTCAGCTTATCACTATTCTGGGTCAAAAGAGATGATCTTTCTTTAAATTTGTTCTTTCCCCTTAACTCTGTTGCCCTTTGCTTGGCTACTATATGTAAAGAATGTAGTGAAGTCAGTGGTTTATTCATTCCCACAGCTAGTGCTTACTGAGGACCTACTCTGCTAGCTGCTGGGGACTCTGTGATTGAAGATCTGCTCCCTGTCCTAGCGTTGTAATAGTATATTAGTAGGCTAAAAGATAACAGCCATTTCCCGTATAGCATTTGTCCATATGTATAATCTCTTCAGCTGCATCCTGAGAGAGGTTTCACTGGTATCATATCTCAGCCTCAAGGCACTGACCACGTGAGCTCTTCCTTTACAGCTAATTGATCCAAGTGGCCCTGACTAGGTCTCTAACCAAGAGAAGGCTCTTTGGAGATAGAACATTTTCAACAAGCGAAAACACAGAAAATCATGACACATTGAAACTTGCAGTGGAGGCTTGGATCATTTAATTTTTCTCTACTTCTACGAAAGATTTTTTTAACATTTCCAGATTAAAGTGGTTCACCTGAGTGCCCTGATTCATATACATACATTCACATACAAGTCAGGAGAGCAGGGCAAGATTCCAGTCAACCTGGAAATGTTGAAAAACATCAGATTTTACATAAAAGATATGTGTATTTTCTCCAAATCTACATGTGGTCATTCAAACATCAAACCAGAAGCTCTGGGAGTCTCACTGAATTCTCGGTTTGCCTTGAAAAGTCATGTGACCTTGACAGCACTATTCATCAGCACTAGCTTCAGTTTGGCCTTTTTCCATTAGAATCTATTAGCCATCAGTTTTTTCTTTCAAGACTACTATTCTGTGACTCCTGTATTTGATTTCTAAAAATGTCCTAGTCTCCCAGAGATTCCCACCCATGGGGTTTGACTTTGTATGTTACTGATGGACTAGGGTGCTTTACTCTCGCAGATATTAAATATTAACAGAGAAATATGGAGAATATGCAAGCTAAGAAAACTACACATACACTTATTGTTTGGTAAGCAAGCAGATTTTTTTGTCCTACACTGGGTTACAATAAAGGCTATATTTATTTTCCTCATCTTAATGCGTTCTAGGATTACCTTTGAGTCCAGACAAGTAGAAAGGTGAAGACTTTTTTTTTTAAACATAGGCAACCCAACACACCAGTTGGTCCCAAAGAAGACGTGCACTTTCACGTGATTGAGAGGTGTGAGACTAGCCAGGCAGCAAAGGCTATTACCATCAAATTCCACTTCCTCACTTCCTTCCACTCCACCAAATCTAATCAGTAACCGCAGGGGAAGGGCAAAGGCATTTAGTAAGTATTGACACCCAGGATTCCAAGAAGCGTACCAAGCTTTTACCAGGACTGTTCAGGTTTTCAGAGACAAACCAATAGGAAATGACTTTTTCTATTCCCAGCCCATCAAAAGAATGAAATAAAAATTGCCAAACTTGACTTGGCATGTGACCACAGTGCTGCCAAAGACAAGGGGTATGACTGAAAGGAGAAGTCAATAAACCTAAAGTCACCATCCACATCCAACCCACCCCACCACCCCCAACCCCACAAACATACACTGCTGCCTTCACCTCTTTTCCCAGTTTGACCAATGGGTAGTTATATGAGTATTAGTCTCAGCAAGAGTCAAACTAAAAACACTGAGAACCATTAAAATTTTCCTCAGATGAGACCCTAAAGCATGGGAGATAATTCAATATGTTGTCATCAAACTATGGTAAAAACATTGTCTCTTAATTTCTGCCAAAGACAGCAACAAATCTCTCCTCAACTCTCTTAATCTCATGCCAAATAAAACAGCAACTCTATTCCCCCAAACTCTAAACTCGTGTCAACCTGTTTGTGATGACGAAGTTAACAATTTGTAAATTTGAACTTCAAGTGGGTTATTCCTCATTTGGTAGAGACAAAACTTAATGAATTGGATGTGCTGATGGTAATCTCATGGATTTCACTGCAGCAGCTAATAGGATTATAATCACCACACATCACAATCTTCCATGCTTCCAGAACAGACTTGATGTCACCTAGATCTCTTCAAAGATGTTCCCAAACACAGACTACATTCATATTTGCTTAATCCAACAACCCCTTTTCCAAGTGCTTTCAAGTATTTTCTGAGACAGGTTCATGACAATTTTGTAGTTACAATGGCATTAGAACATCTCATGTTTAGCTGGTCAAAAGGATTTTTCCAACCATTCGACCTAATGTGTACTCAAAATTATGTGGGAATCTATACCACATGAATTAGCAATTAACCCTAACTGTGATACAGAAGAGGGAGGGAAAGTCTATGTCTTCACTGAATTTCATGGTTCTTTATTACAAACTGCTAGAGGACATGTTCTTTGGTTGGTGCTGGCATCCTCATTAGCACTGAGCACCACAGCTCAAAAAGCGTGGCTGAATCGATGTATATTGGTGACGTATATCACCAGGAAAAGAACTGCTGAGTTTTGTCACTAAACATCCTTCAGCCATTTTTTGGACCCATCTAGAGAACCAGACTCAAGACAGGTCAAAGTAACAATATGACATGAGGTGGATGAAGCCTTGGAGACAAAATGAATTGTCCTAGGGTCGCAATAGGAGACAAAGGTTAGAACTTAGAATGTGGGGGTCAGTAATTTAAGTACTGTAGTCCCCATGTCCCTTGCTCCTTTTAACCCTTTGAAACTAACCTACGGAGTTCTGCTTCCATCTCTCTTTTGTTTATGCAACTTTTGAACTGGGTTATTTCATTAATTTCAGGAACATTTATTGAGGACCTAATATGGGCGCAGCATATAGAAGGTAGTTTATACAATATACAGTTTTGAGTATATATAGTAAAGAAGTCGGGCAGAACTGAATTCAAACCTCAGTTCTACTTCCTACTAATTCATTACTTTAAGCAAGAGAATTGGTTTCTCTGTGCCTCAGTTTTATAATTTCCTCATCTACAAAACGAGAATAGTAATAGTGTATATCTCACAGGGTTGTTATAAAACTATTGTAACTATCATTATTCTTATCATTGTACCACAACAAATGGTACAAAAGTATAACCATCAATCCCAGGAGAAAAGACACCCTATGAACTGAAAGAAATTAAATACCAAATGAGGTGGCATGTGCTGTATAAATTCGGAAGGAAAAGTCAGTGAAGGTTAGGGTGATCAATAAGGTTTCATAGAGAAGAAAGGGCTTCAGTTGTATTATAGAAAAGAATACACCATGAGAACAGGCAATAAACCATGAGCATTTGATCAAGAAAAGTGTGCTTGGAGAACGTAAGAGTGGATGTAGTGAGGAATACATTTGAAGCTAGGCTGGGAAGGGATTGACTATCCAACTAATAATGATTTTTGACTTCCATTCACTCATTCATTCAACAAGCATTTATTGAGTGAATATTACGGTCCCATGCATTGTTGCCTTGATGATGCAATCATAAGCAAGGCATGGTCTATTCTTGTGGAAATAAACTAATACCAACCAAATGAGAAAAGCAAAGGCTATTTATTCTGAGCTTGAGAAATAATTTATTCTGAACAAGAGGATCAGCCACTGTCACTTGTATTTTTGCAGAAATGCAAAGGCAAGTAGAGGAGTGGGAATGGGAAAGCCTTGTAGTGGAAAAAATGGAAGGCTTCAGGTGTGCCCTGATTGGAGGCTATTGGCATGGGAAGCTGTAGGCAGGATAACTAGAAATGGGTTTCCTGTGTTATTGGATAGGGGAGCATATTTGGTTTTCTCTGGTGGGTGGTAAGTTGGAAGTAGGAATAAAACTTAGGGAAGCTTTCAGTTTTTAATCAAGTCTTGGCCATTTTGGGCCAATTTTTACATGAGTTATTTTTTTAGCTTCCTGAATTGTCATTAAAGATAGCAATCTGGCTTCCTGCAAGTCTGACTTATAACAGGCTGGCTTCCTGAACTGTTTATTGCAGATAAGGAGGCTGGTTTCCTGGGCAGGTTGCTGCAGGTTCTGAGTCAGAATTCTACTTTTATATATGGTTTAGTCATTGTCTGTTTGCATATTCAGCTTCTCAGTGCAGTGAAGAAAAAGACTAAAAAAGGTTGTTGGGGACAGGAGCAAAACAACTACGTTAGAGTGTTATAGGGATGATGAAGTTGGGCTGGGAAAACCTACTTTGGATAAAGTAGTCAGAGAAGGCCTTTCTGAGGAGGTGACAACTATGCAGAGACCTTGAAAATGAGAAGAGGCCAGTCATTTTAGAAGCATAGGGAAGAACATTTCAGGTCAAAGGACAGAGAAAATACTACTTTGAGCTAGAAAAAATATGGTGGGTTTAAATAAATTACAGATCAGTGCAGTTAGGCAGGAATAAGCAAGGAGAGACAGCAAGATAGGAGGTTTGAGAAGTAATTAAGATTCAGGTCAGACAGAACTCTGTGTGTCAAAGTGGAGAATAGATTCTATGAGAGCAGGGAGCTTAGGCAGAAAGCCTATTACAGATGATTTTAACAGCGCAGGTGGAAAGATGATGGTAGCGGTCTGGCTTAAGTTATGGGAAGTAGAGATGAAGAGAACAGTTCACTGATTCCTGGAGACATCTTGAAAAAAGAACAAAGAGCACCTCCTGATAGCCTGACTATGGAGGAAATGGGGAATGGTGATAAAGGGAGGAAATTAAATAACTCCAAACTTATGGGCTTGAGCAACTGAGTACAGGATTATAGCATTTACTGAGATGGGGATACAAAACACAAAGAAAAGTAAGTTATGGGGGTGAAAAATCAAGTTTATCTTAGGGATTGAGAAGGCCATTAATATAATAACAGCCATCTGGAGATAAGAGGCAGGACAGATTCAAAAGTCAGAGACCTCTTGGGCTTAGCCCACATTGACAGTTCACACCTTTTTAGTAGAGAAAATAGACACTCAAATAAAGGACAAACAAGGAAGACAAAAGCTGCAGGAAAAAAAAAAACTACAGATATTTAGCTAAGAATACCTGGCCTCAAAGTTGCTGGTCAGTTTAGCTTTTCAAAAATTGACAACAGTGGCTCACGCCTGTAATCCCAGCACTTTGGGGGGCCAAGGCAGATGGATTGCCTGAGCTCAGGAGTTTGAGACTAGCCTGGGCAACATGGTGAAACCCCGTCTCTACTAAAATATAAATAAATAAATTAGCCAAGCATGGTGGTGTGCACCTGTAGTCCCAGCTACTCGAGAGGCTGAGGCAGGAGAATTACTTGAACCTGGGAGGTGGAAGTTGCAGTAAGCCAAGATTGTGCCACTGCACTCCAGCCTGGGTGACAGCGAGACTCCATCAAAAAAGGAAAAAAAAAAAAAAAGAAGAAGAAGAAGAAGAAAAAAAAAATTGACAACAAGAAATGGAATTGCTTAACATTGTGTGGCCCAATTACCTAGTCTATTGATTGCACTTGAAGCATTCATTGGTGATACAATCATGCAAGAAATGTTCCATTCTTGCTTATAGTCTAGAGAGGCAGAGAGAAGTGTCAGGTTCAAGTTAGCGACTAGTCATTTAAAAGAAGAAAGCCTCTCTTAGCTGTTGACCTTGCTTTCTACTTCACAGGGAAAATGAAAGCAATAAGAAGAGAACTTCTAGATTCCCACAACATCTGTCAACCGCTAGCACCTAGAACCTCATGTTATGCCCTCCCTCCTGTTACAATTGGAAAATTGTTCATGCTTGATAACGAAGCCAGTACCTTCACTCTAGATCCCATTCTTTCTCACCAATTCAAGGACATCTTTCCAGCAATTCTCTTCTCTCCTTTTTGTATAATTTCCATCAACCAATGAATTCACTGCTCATGCTTCCATCATCAAAAAAATAATAATAATTACAAAACAAATTTTAAAACCTTTACTGAAGTAAGTGAACTCTGACTTGACTTCCCCCACCAGCAAATGTCTCATTTCATGGCGCTCATTTTCAGGAAACTCCTTGAGAGAGTTGTCTCTTTTTGATGACTACAATTCCTTTCCTACTGTTTTATTTTTCATTTGCTCAGGTATATTGCAGTATAATTAGCATGCAATAAAGTTCACCCTTTTAAAGAATACATTTTCGTAAGTTTTGAAAAATATATTGGTCATGTAGCCACTGCTATAATCAAAATATATAACATACATATCACCTCAAAAAGTTTCCTTGGACTCTGGTTCCAAAATGATGGCATAAAAGCAAGCCGGCTTCACTCCTCCCCAACTCCCCAAAGAAAACCTAAAACAAATATAGAGTTCAAAGATTATCACCAGCAATATACCAGAACTTAAATGTAAGAATGAGACAGTTCCTGCAGCCACAGAAGATTGAAAAAAAAATCCAAGCAGATGGTAAGAAAATCAGACTTCCATGTCCATGATGCCCGTTTTCTCAATCTGCTCAGCACCAAGCATGCAGGAAATTTTTCCTAGATTTATGGTTTCTACACTAGAAAAAATTGAGATTGAGGTGAACAGCCAGCTTCTCCACTATCTTGGGTTTGTTGGCCGTGGACTTGCCCCTGCCTCAACCCATAGGAAGCATTGCAAGTACCTGAAGGAAAAATTAGCCTTGGAATAGCCAAAGGAAAAGGAGAGGGACTATGATTCCCAGGCTTAGAAACACTGCTCTGTAACTCAGCCAAAGGAAACACCAAATCAGAATGGTTGTTCAGCAGCACCATACTGTAGGAGATTTGTTCCACAGGACCACTGGGCATGAGCTCCTAGCCTACCTTTCCATACTACTGGAATATAACCTTTGGGACCTCCGTCATTCAAGATGGGCAGCACTCTGGTTGTTTACTAGAACCAAGACAAGTGGGGCTTAAGAAACCATCTAGTATCTAAAATGAGACAGCAACCTAGTTGGGGGAAATAAATTAACAGGTAAATTACAAAGAATTTCTAAACAAGTGAATCCAATAAAAACCAAAACAAGCAAGACAAATAAGACTAGAATAAATAATCTTTCACTGCAAGATGTAGACATACATCAACAAGAAACAGCAAAAACAGGGAATCATGATCTCCCAAATGAAGAAAGCAAAGAACCAGTGGCTGACCCTAACTAGATGCTGATATATGAACTCTCTAAGAATTCAAAATGCAGTTTTATGGAAACTCAGTGATCTCCAAGACAACACAGAAAGGCAATTCAGAAATTTATCAGATAAATTTAACAAAGAGATTAAAACAATAAAAAGAAATCAAACAGAAATCTTGGAACTGAGAAATACATTTACTGAACAGAAAAATTTATTAGAGGATCTCAACAGCAGAATTGATCAAGCAGAGGAAAGAATCAGTGAGCTCTAAGACAGCCTATATGAAAATACACAGAGGATAAAAAATAACAAGGAAAAAAGATAAACTACAAGATTTAGAAAATTACGTTAAAAGATCCAATTTAAGAATTATCATTACTCAAGAGGGAGTTGAGCAAGAACAAGGGGTAGAAAGCTTATTCAAAGAAATAATTGAACACTTTCCAAAACTGGAGAAAGAGATAAATGTTCAGGTACAGGAAGGTCAAAGAACACCAAACAGATTTGACCCAAACAGAACTACCCCAAGGCACATAATAATCAAACTCTTAAAGGTCAAACACAAAGAGAGAATGCTAAAAGCAGCAAGAGGAAAGAAACAAAGACCATATAAGGAACTTTGAATTAATCTGGCAAAAAACTTCTCAATGAAAACCATACAGGCCAGAAATGAGGAGAATGACACTTTCAAAGTGATTAAAAAAACTGTCATCCAAGAACACTGTATCCAGCAAAGTTCTCTTTCAAATATGAAGGAGAGACAGGGTCTTTCCCAGACAAACAAAAGCTGAGAGAATTCACCACGACCAGCCCTGTCTTATAAGAAATGCTAAAGGCAGTTCTTTAGTCTAAAATAAAAAAAAAAAACCCACTAACACGCAAAAAGAAAATATTTGAAATTATAAAACCCAATGGCAAAATTAAGTACGTGGACAAACCCAGAATGATAATACTGTAATCATGGTGTGCAATCCACTTGTAAGTCTAGTATACAGCCCAAAAGACAAATCTATCAAAACCAGTAATAGCCAAAGCAACCTGTTAAGAGATAGGGTATATAAAAATATGTAAACTGGGCCGGGCGCGGTGGCTCACGCCTGTAATCCCAGCACTTTGGGAGGCCGAGGCGGGCAGATCACAAGGTCAGGAGATCGAGACCATCCTGGCTAACACGGTGAAACCCTGTCTCTACTAAAACTACAAAAAATTAGCCGGGCATGGTGGCGGGCGCCTGTGGTCCCAGCTACTTGGGAGGCTGAGGCAGGAGAATGGCGTGAACCCGGGAGGCAGAGCTTGCAGTGAGCCAAGATCGTGCCACTACACTCCAGCCTGGGTGACAGAGCAAGACTCCGTCTCAAAAAAAAAAAAAAAAAAAAAAAAAGTAAACTGAGATGATAAAAAATCAAAATGTGGGGGGGGATGAAGTTAAACTATAGTGTTTTTTCTCTTTTTTCTTGGGTTATTTCTATTATTTTCTTTGTTATCTAATACAAGTTGTCTTCTTAATAAATCACTTGTTATATCTATAAGATATTTTTGTAAGCCTCATGATAGCCACAATGTAAAAATCTATTGTATATTAACTAAAAGTTAAAAGCAGTGAATCAAAATATACCAGCAGGAAAAAAATCACTTAATCACAAAGGAAGTCAGCAAGGGAAGAAAGGATGAGAGAAGTTACAAAACAATCATAAAACAAGCAACAAAATGACAATAATAAGTCCTACTTATCAATAACACTGAATGTAAATTTGACTCAATTCTTCAGCTAAAAGGCATAGAGTGGCTAAAAGGACAGAGGACCAAGGTCCAATTATATGCTGCCTTCAAGAAATGCTCTTCACTTATAAAGACACACATAGACTGAACATGAAGGTGTGAGAAAAGTTATTTTGTGCTATTGGAAACAAACAAACAAAAGCAGGAGTAGCTACACTGATATCATATAAAACAGACTACAAATCAAAGACTATATAAAAGGACAAAGAAGGTCACTACACAATAATAAAGGGGTCAATTCAGCAAAAGATATAATAATTATAAATATCTGTGCACCCAAAACTGAAGCCCCCAAGTATGTAAAGCAAAGATTAACAGATATAAAGGGAGAGATAGGCTGCAATACAATAATAGTAGGGGACCTCAACACCCCACTCTCAGTAATGGGTAGGTCATCCAGGCAGAAAACAAAGAAGCATCAAAGTTAACTACATATTACACCAATAGGTTTAGCTGACATTTACAGAACATTTGACATAACTGTTGCAAAAAAACCACATTCTTTTCATCCCCAAATAGAACATTCTCCAAAATAGGCCACATCTTAGGACACAAAACAAGTCTCAGCAAATTCAAAAAAGTAGAAATCGTACCAAGTATCTTTTCTAACCACAATGTAATAAAACTAAAAATCAATAACAAGTGGAACCTCAGAAAATACACAGACACATGGAAATTAAAGAACATGTTATTGAATGATCAACAGATCAATGAAAAATTAAGAAGGAAATTTTAAAATTTCTTGAAACAAATGAAAATGTAAATGAAACATACTAAAACTCTATGAGATACAGCAAAAGCAGTTTTGAGAAGGAAGTTTATAGCAATAAATGCTCATATCAAAAAAGTAGAAATTCTTCCAATAAACAATCTAATAATGCCCCTCAAAAAAGAATAACAAAAATAAAATGAACCCAGAATTAGTAGAAGGAAAGAAATAAATAGCACAGAGACTAAAAAAGTTACAGAATATCAATGAAATGAAAAGCTGGTTTTTTGAAAATGATAAAATTGACAAACCTTTTGCAAGATTAAGAAAAAGAGAAGACTCAAATAAAATCAGAAATGAAAATGGAGACATAACAACTGAAACCAGAGAAATAGACTCACTAGACTATTCTGAACAACTATATGCCAACAATTAGAAAACCTAGAAGTGGATGAATTCTTGGACATATACAACCTGCCAAGATTGAACCATGAAGAAATAGAAAACCTTAGCAAACTAATAGTGAGTAATGAGATCAAAAAAGTAATAAAAAGTCCCAGGACCTGATGTCTACACTGCTGAATTCTAACAAACATTTAAAGAAGAACTAATACCAATTCTATTCAAACTCTTCAAAAAAAATTAAAGAGGAGGGAATACTTCCAAACTCATTCTACAAGGCCAGCATTACCCTGATACCAAAACCAGAGGACACAACAAAAAAAGACAACTACAGGCCAATAGCATTGATGAAGACAGATGCAAAAACCTTCAACAAAATACCAAATCCAACAAAACATTAAAAAGATTATTCACCATGATCAAGTGGGATTCATCCCAGGGATACAAGAATGGTTCAACATATGCAAATCAACAAACATGATATATCACATTAACAGATCTAAGTATAAAAACAATATGATTATTTCAATAAATGCTGAAAAAGCATTTGATAAAACTGAACACCTTTTATGATACAAACCCTCAACAAACTGAGTATAGGAGGAACATACCTCAAGATATATATTCCAATATCAAATGGCAAATTTCAACAATGCAAAAACTGCAATTACATTTGCACCAATCTAATATATACTTTTAGTTTCAAGGGTATATGTGCAGGCTGGAGATATATATATATATATATCTCCTAAATCTGACTACTTCTTGTGTCTTCCACCTCTACCACTCTGGTCTAAGCCACATCATCATTTCTCTCTGAATTTCGGCAGTACCCATTAAGTAATCTCTTTGCACCCTTCTTGCCCTTCAATCTCAACACAATAGGCACCATGACTCTTTCCAACTCTACATCAGATCATATCACTCCTCTGCTTCAAACCATACAATGATTAACAAAATCAAGCATGAGAAAAACTATAGGTCAAATTGACTGAGTAATTCAACAGATAAATGGTAGGGAAAAGAAAGGGATAGAGAAATACCCATGGGTTAAAAGAGACTTCAAATACATATCAAGATTAAACTACAGTGACTAGAGATGAGCTGCAAACTTGGGTGATGAAACATAGAGAAACCAGGAAAATGGTTAGTATAAAAGTTAGACTAGTGGTCACATTTGGGCAGAGGCAGTGAACTCTGTTTGGGACACAGCCCATGGAACGGCCTCTGGGGAGAATGGCAAATTTAATTCTTGATCTGAGAAGTGGTTCGAAGAGCACAGCCCCATCATAACTGACTAAGCTATCCATTTGTTTTGCGTAGTTTTCTCTATTTGTATCTTTTATTTTTCAATAAAAACGTTAAAAGCAATCTTTGCAATGGCTTCCCACATCTCCTCAATTGAAAGCCAAAGTCCTTAAAACTGTTCACAAGGCCTTGAGGTATCTGGTCCATTGTTACCTCTTGGATCGGTTCCTTTCTTTGCTCACTTGCTCCTACTATGCCTGCCTTTTCTCATTCTGTTTCAGCCATAGTTGACTGCCTGTTTTTTCTTGCACATTCCAGCACATCTGCTCTAGTTCTTTCCTCTGCCCAAACATGTCCTTGGCTAAACCCCTCAACTCTTCCAAATCTTCTCTTAGATTTCATGTCCTCAATGAGATGGATGTTGTTGACTATTTAATACAGCCATCTGCCTCCTACCTTAAGTTGCAGACCCCCTTACCCGTCTCTACTTCTGTTTCCCATATAACCTTCTATCATATAGACTTCACTTATTTATTGGACCTTTTTTTTGGTGGTTTGTGACCCCACTAGAATGTGAGCTTCATGAGAACAGAGACTGTATGTTTTATTCACTGATGCACCCCACAGGAAAAGGTAAAGCCAAGGGTAAGGCCTGAGTGATTCGACAGGTAAAGGTACAATGAGCCACTTTGGGATTTAGACAGTTTATTACCTACATAGACAGTGAAGAGAAGGATGAACCAAAGGCACCAGCCCCTGTGATCCTTGTCCCACATGCCAAAGAGGATAACATTAGAACCAAAGGGGCCTGATGACTACGTGAGTTGTGGGATACCTGGTAGTTGAGGAGTATATTAGTCTGTTTTCATGCTGCTGATAAAGACATACCTGAGACTAGGCAACTAACAAAAGAAAGAGGTTTAATGAACTTACAGTTCCACATGGATGGGGAAGCCTCATAATCATGGTGGAAGGCAGGGAGGAGCAAGTCATGTCTTACATGAATGGCAGCAGGCAAAGAGAGAGAGCTTGTGCAGGGAAACTCCCATTTTTAAAACTATCAGATCTTGTGAGACTTATTCACTATCACGAGAACAGCACAGGAAAGACCCACCCCCATAATTCAATTATCTCCTAGCGGGTCCCTCCCACAACACATGAGAATTATGGAAGCCACAAAATGAGATCTGGGTGAGGACACAGCCATATCATTTCACCTCTGCCCCTCCCAAATCTGATGTCTTCACATTTCAAAACCAATCATGCCTTCCCAGCAGTCCCCCAAAATCTTAACTCATTTCAGCATTAACTCAAAAGTCCACAGTCCAAAGTCTCATCTGAGACAAGGCAAGTCCCTTCTGTCTATGAGCCTGGAAAATCAAAGGCAAGTTAGTTCTTCCTAGATACAACGGGGGCACAGGCACTGGGTAAATACAGCTCTTCCAAATGGGAAAAATTGACCAAAACAAAGGAGCTACAGGCCCCCATACAAGTCTGAAATCCAGAAAAGCAGTCAAATTTTAAAGCTCCAAAATGATCTCCTTTGACTCCATGTCTCACATCCAGGTCGCACTGATGCAAGAGGTGGGTTCCCATGGTCTTGGGCAGCTCTGCCCCTATGGATTTGCAAGATACAGCCTCCCTCCCAGCTGCTTTCATGGGCTGGCCTTGAGTGTTTAGGCTTTTCCAGGCACACAGTGCAAGCTGTTTCTGGATCTACCAGTCTGGGGTCTGGAGGACAGTGGCCTTCCTCTTACAGCTCCACTAGGTGGTGCCCCAGTAGGGACTCTGTGTGGGAGCTCCGACCCCACATTTCCCTTCTGCCCTGCCCTAGCAGAGGTTCTCCATGAAGTCCACACCCCTGCAGCAAACTTCTGCCTGGGTATCCAGGCATTTCCATACATCCTCTAAAATCCAGGCAGAGGTTCCCAAACCCCAATTTTGACTTCTATGTACTCACAGGCTTAACACCATATGGAAGTTGCCAAGGCTTGGGGCTTCTACCCTCTGAAGCCATGGTCTGAGCTCTATGTTGGCCCCTTGTAGCCGTAGCTGAAGCAGCTGGGACACAGGGCATGAAGTCCCTAGGCTGCACACAGCTTGGGGACTCTGGGCCTGGCCCACAAAACCATTTTTTCCTCCTAGGACTCCAGGTTTGTGATGGGAGGGGCTGCCATGAAGACCTCTGATGTACCCTGGAGACATTTTCCTCATTGTCTTGGGGCTTAACATTCAGCTCCTTGTTACTTATGCAAATTTCTGCAGCCAGCTTGAGGTTCTCCTCAGAAAATGATTTTCTTTTCTATAGCTTTGTCAGGCTGCAAATTTTCTGAACTTTTATGCTCTGCTTCCCTTTTGAAGCTGAATGCCTTTAACTGCACCCAAGTCACCTCTTGAATGCTTTGCTGCTTAGAAATTTCTTCTGCCAGATACCCTAAATCATCTCTCTCGAGTTCAATGTTCTGTACATCTGTAGGGCAGGGGCAAAATGCCTCCAGTCTCTTTGCTAAAACATAACAAGGGTCACCTTTGCTCCAGTTCCCAAGAAGTTCCTCATTTCCATCTGAGACCACCTCAGCCTGGAATTTATTGTCCATATCACTATCAGCATTTTGGGCTAAGCCATTTAGCAAGTCTCTAGGATGTTCCAAACTTTCCCACATTTTCCTGTCTTCTTCTGAGCCCTCCAAACTGTTCCAACCTCTGCCTGTTACTCAGTTCCAAAGTCACTTCCACATTTTTGGGTATCTTTTCAGCAGTACCCTACTCTTGGTACCAATTTACTGTATTAGTCCTGTTTTCACACTGCTGGTAAAGACATACCCCAGACTGGGCAATTTACAAAAGAAAGACGTTTAGTGGACTTCCATTTCACATGGCTGGAAAAGCCTCACAATCATGTTGGAAGGCAAGGAGGAGCAAGTCACGTCTTACATGGATGGCAGCAAGCAAAGAGAGAGAGCACTGAGCTTGTGCAGGGAAACTCCCATTTTTAAAACCATCAGATCTCATAAGACTTATTCACTATCATTAGAACAGCATGGGGAAGACACACTCCCATAATACAATTATCTCCCACTGGGTTCCTCCCACAACATGTGGGAATTATGGGAGCTACAAGATGTGATTTGGGTGGGGACACAGAGCCAAACTATATCAAGGAGCTATGTGGTTTTAGACCGCAGCTAAGTAGTTTTATATTCCACAGCTCTATTTTGAGAAGAATGTGGCAGAAAGCCCCATACGTCATCAGTACCCAGGAAGTGATGAGATGGGTTTTGAGATAGTCTCCCTGGGAAGATAGAAAGGTAGAAGGCAGATGACCTCAGAGCAGCTCTTCATAAGCCTCACATACTCTGGGGTTCCAAGAGGATCACAGACGTTTTCCCAAGACTCAGATAAGCTGAAGTTTAACTGTCTGGCTGTGTGGCATATGTGGCTATGTATGAAGTTGCAGCGTGCCAGGGCAGAGCTGTTACACTGCAAGTAGGCATTCAGTGAGTAAATGAATACATGAATAGCTAAAAGCCCCTCAATTGTATTGACCGGTAAGGAAAGAGAAGAGAAGATGTAAATTCACTTTTTTGGATAAATAATGTGGTTCAGAGCAAGGAGCATATGGTCTAGAATCAGACTGTTCTAGGTTGTAAATGCAGCCTGGCTACTTAGTGGCTGGATCAACTTAGGCAAATAGGTGCTGTAAAAGTAGTTGCTATAATCTTTATTAACTTCATATTTTATATTTTAATATGAAATTTTATATGTGCAAAGAGTCTTTGTGCATTTGTCTTCTTCTGTCCCCACTCCCCATCCCAATGCTGGAGACTTGATTGTCATTATACTTAACATATTATGGAGATAATAGAACCACCTCTTGAAGACTGGAGAAAAGAAAAGAAAAATTACTCCTATCCAACAAGATTAGTATTATTGCTAAGCCTTTTAATATAACTCTTTCTAGCCTCCTCTCCCACATATATAATAATAACACCTAATGTTTCTAGAGGGCCTCATATGTCACATACATTAACTCACTTAATCCTTACAATACCACTTTCGGCCAGATGCTATAATTATCCCCATTTTCAAGGTGAGAAAACAGAAGTGCAGAGAGGTTTAGTGGCTTGCCTAAGGTCACATACTTAGTCAGAGCTAGAATTTCAATCCTTGTAGTCAGCTCCCAGAATTTGTGCATTTAACCATGATTATAACCCACAAACCATTCTACATTCTAGCATAAAGTCAGAAACTCTACTTTTCCATGCAGAAACATATTCATAGGCATTCTTTTTTTTTTTTTTTTTTTTTTTTGAGACGGAGTCTCGCTCTGTCGCCCAGGCTGGAGTGCAGTGGCGCGATCTTGGCTCACTGCAAGCTCCGCCTCCCGGGTTCACGCCATTCTCCTGCCTCAGCCTCCCCATAGGCATTCATTTTAATATCCATCAAACCATGATATCATATCGTGCATGGTTTCCTTAATCACTTCTCCTGTTTGGGGGCATTTGTTTTTTAATTTTTACTTCTATAAACAAAGTGAGATAAATATCTTTGTACACAAAGTCTTTTCTGTGGTTAAGATTATTTCCCAGAAGTGCAGATACAGATTCAAAGGCAGGAACATGTACTTGGCGTCAGATCCTATCACTTAGTGACTTTCCAAACTGGCCCACTCTCTGTCGATAGGCAGCAACTTCATGACCCAGCCCTGGATGTTCTGATCCAGTAGGTGCTGAGAGGTTCCCAGGAAGCTCTATTTTTTTTTTTTTTTTTTTAACCAACTCTCCTGGTGATTCTGATGCTGACCAATCTGGGGAACAGCTGACCTACCCAAGTGCCCTCCCTGTCCAAGCATATATTCTAGGGTTTTATATGCATTCGCTTTTTGTCATCACCTTCAGGAAAAAAATCAATTGTAGCATCTCCAATTATATAGATGTGATTACACACTAATTTGCACAACCAATTCCATAAATACATATGCAGTGCTGGTTTAGGTGCTGGACACACAATAGTGTACAAGACAAAGTCCCCAAATTCTTGGCAGTCACATTAGGGTATGATTTGACAGATAATATACAAGAAAACAAGTAAAGAAGATGATTTCAGAGAGTGATATATGCTTTGGAGTCACCAAAATGGAAAAATGTAACAGAGAGTAGTGTGGCGGCACAGGAGAGCTACTTTATACAGGATGGTCAGAGGAGGTGACATTGTGTGAAAAAGATGTGCAGATTTGCCAGAAAGTGTTCCAGCCAAAAGAAACTGCAAACTTAAAATGTTTGAGCAACAGAAGAAAAAAAGGTCAGCATGGGTGGAGTGTAGCTAGTGAATGCAAGAGTGTAGAGAAATTTGGAGAAGGACACAAGGTTCAGATGATATAAAGCTTGTGGCCTTTGTAAGGAGTGACTGTGATTACATTACGGACACCACTGGTGGGCTATAAGATGGGGAATGGTACAATATGCTGCATGTTTTTAAAAGCTCACCCCAATCTTTTTGTCTAGAAGACGGTAAAGGAGGGACAGGGAAGCATTTGAAAAACCTAGGAAACTCTTGAATTCCAGCCAAGAGATGATAGTGGTTTATGGAAATGCGAATGCAGAAAAGTGAATTGATTCCAACTATATCTAGAGGCAGAGGGATGGGGAGATTCTGCAGATGAACTAATATCTCATATAGTTTGAGCCAAGAGCAGAAACTAAAAGTAATTCCCTTGATGAATGACTTGACCCTGAGGCTCTTACATGCTAGTCCTAGATGTCTTCTTACCCAGCCATGTAACCTTGGACAAGTTAGTTTATCACTCCTGGAAATTCTAGTTCCAACATTTTCTCATCCTTTGGTAAATATAATAGTCTCTATGTCCCCTCCTTCTTTATTCCACAAATGTTTCTTAAATGGCTACTAAGGACTATACTAGGTCCTGATGAATCAGCCAGACACTAAACCTCCTCTGTACAGCTGACAGCTTGGGAGAGGTGACTGATATTAAACAAATAATTGGGCAAATAATTATTTAAATTATTATTGGGATTAGGACTGCCAGGGAGAACCCCAGGAATAAAATCACAGGGGACCTCATCTTGACGGGGGTTATGGGAAGGCTTCCCTGAAAAAGAGGCATTTTAGCAGTGGCACTTGGTGAGGGCACAATCAGTATAAGACAAATCAAAAACCTCATAGACCATGTTTCATGAGCTTTGGATCCACAAGCACCAGTGACTTTAAGTTAGAGTCAGTTGCTTGTGAAACTGAAGGGACTCTACCTCAGGTCTGCCCCAAGGGGCCACGTGATTCTGGGTACATTCTCTCCTGAGGTCAGCTAGTTCTCTTTGACAAAGCCAGGCATTTTTTCCTAGAATCGAATGTCACAGGAGGCACATTAGATGACCTGATGTCATGATACCCAGAGTGAGGGAGGCACTTGGCAACACATCAGGCAAGTTGGCTTCTTTCTCTGCCTCCACCCCAGGGTTCTGGGACAGAATGCCAGTTACTAAGTCTCCTAGGGCCGGATTTGGCCTATCCATTTGGAAAACAGACAAACTCCCCAGTTATCAATTCTGAAGGTTATCTCAGGAATTAGTCTCTTCCATACAAGAGAGCAAACAGTGCTTGAAGTTGCTCTGGCCATTTTGTAGGTGACAATTGCCCCTACATAAGAATTGCCAAGCACTAATCACTCCAGCATTTCCATCTTCCCCCGTCCCCTCAACACCAACTTTCACACAAAGACACTGAAACAGGATCTCCTTTGGGCAAGAGTTTCCAGGATCTTGGGGCTGCTTTCTTGTCTGCTTTAGCAGCTGGAGCCCGAGAGTGATTACAAAGGTTTCTTTTTTTTCCCTCTTTGGAGGCTTCTAGACAAACTCTCACTGTGAGGGAGGTCACCCACTGGCCAGATCCAGTGTATAGCCTGCCTATAAACACTGCAGAAGGAGAAGAAACCCTTTCTCAGAAGCTGGAGGGCATAGAGGAGAACTGGGCTTTGTCTCCAGGACCCTTTCCCAGTGTACCAAGGACAGCCACGGCTCCCTAGAAGGGTGCCCTGTTGGCCAACTGGTTTTCTAATCAGGAATGCTGAGATTATTAAAAAACTATCTTTATGGAATATTTCCATAATTCTGAGTCAGAGTCCATGGCCCAACATACTCCTCCCTAGCAGGGCAGTATGGTGCAATGGTTAGGTGAATAGATTCTGCACCTTGGGTTCGGCTATATCTGGAGGCAGGTAGATGGGGAGGCTGTAGAAGTACTAATATCTCAGTTAGTTTGAGCCAAGAGCAGAAACCAAAGGCAGTCCCCCTTGATGAATGACTTGAACTTAAGGGTCTTTGATGCTAGTCCTGGATGTCTTGTCAAATTTTAAACCTGTGACTTCAGGCAAATCACCCTCTCAGCTCTACTTCCCACATATTTATATTGAACCTAGGAAAACACACCTGTCATAGGCTTTGAATTTTAAAATTACTGAGCTGATGTAGGTAATGTGCATAGCACAGAGTGGGCTCAATCATCCATATCACAGCATTACTAGATGTCCACAGGAGTCTGTATTTGCTATGCTGCTGCCAACTGAGAGCTGGTCTAGTCACCAGCTGCTGAACACAAGTGGCCATGTGAGCAGTGGAAAGAGCTACAGATAGGAAGCAGATCTGCCACCAGTTCTTCTGTGGCCATGGGCAAGTCACTTGGGTCTGAAAATCCAGGGTCTGGAAAAGAAAAGAGTTAAATAAAACAAACTCCAAGATCCTCATTAGCACTTAACCATTTTCAGGAGGGCTCTCATAAGTCACTGGGAAGAAGGTAAAAGCCCCATATTAGTGGGGTGCTTTTCAAGTGCTTCCTTTTCCTTTTTGGCCTCTTCACCCCCACCCCACCCTTCCCATGAAGCTTTCTCAGCAGCTTCTGGTCAGAGATCTCCTGCTCTTGGTGGAATGCTATCTACGGAACGTGAATCCTGTGGCTGACCCTGGAGATCACCTGTTCTGGCTTTCTCTTCAGGGAGATAAGGAAACCAAGGTTCAAAGACTTGAAAGATTCTACCTACCATCACAGAGTTAGAGGTCGCTGGGCCCAGACTAGGACCCACCTTCTCCTATTCCAAGTTTGCCATAGCCACTGCTTCTCCTCCTCCATCCAAGTAACTATTAGGAAGGAACACACAAGGAAGGAACAACAATGCCTAGACTCCTAGTGTAAGGAAGGAACCTTGCTTGGAACTGAACTTCCCAAGCAAAGGTAATTCCTCCTTGGGCCTCCAAAGAGGCCAAAATACAAGAATCAGGAGAACTGTCTTGCTTCCAGTCCCAAGGTACGCTAGCTGTGTGCTTTTGAGTAAACTACCTAATTCCTCTGTGCCTTTTCCCTCACCACAACCCCGGCTACTCTTAAAGCCTGACCTGTCCCTACCTAACAAAGCCATTATGCAGAAAGGCCCTCAGGTGAGAAACCTTGTTTTATTTATGAAGTCACCAAAGGTATTACTCAGCCCCTGACTCCCACTGAGGGAATCCGTTGGAAGCTTTAAGCTCAGTTCCCTGGGTTTTGTGCTCAGCTTTGGAGTTTTCTCTTCCAGTGAGTGAACAAAGCCCATTTAGAAACCCAAACCTACCCACCAGTCCCTGGGGTCTAGGCCCAACTCCTCTATCTGTGCAGCCCAGAGAGGAAAGTGCCTGCTGCCTGATTCAATGGGCCCATTATGTATGGCTAATTCCACAGTAGAACACTGTGTCTTTGAGGGCCTGGCAGCAACTGGTCGTACCTGTTTTAGAGTCAGTACATTGTGTTTGCTGGAGAGATGAAGGAGAGCAGCACACAGCACCATCTCATCATCGCAAATGCCATTTCAGGTTAATGATTACCACGTACAGTATTACTGTAGTCAAAATGCGCACACCAAGGGCCCTTCCCATGCAGCCTGGCAGGCGGCATATAAAGGAGGTCATTGTGTGTGCTGGGTAAAGGAGTGAGAGGTGCCTACAGGTGCCAAGTGTGGTCTCATAGCTCATATGCTCAGGAGGGCAGAGGTTCACCGGAGGGGTGACACTGTGCACATATTTTCTCACTTTATAAGACAATCTATTTACATTCACATTGACACTGAGGTACTGTTACTGAAGCTGGAATTTGTGTCATTCAATAAAATACCCTATCAGCCTAAACTGACATTACAGAACATCAACTAGATCCCACAAGAAACTTGCTTATCTCAGGCCAGAACTGGTTCTTTTGTAGCCAGAGACATCCTACTCCTGCTGGGGCGTTGTGTAGGCCTGCCTACAGGCCTACAGTTGGGGGGTGTTCCTAACCACCTGAATGACTGAAGTTGATGGCTATCAGGCCCCAGCCAGCCTTTTCTATCTGCCAGAAACAAAGCAAGAATGTTCCCCTCCTGAGGTCTCAATTTACAGGCTTTTCACGTTGATAATTAAGCAAGGTTTGCCACCCACACTTCTATTTAGAGGTTCTTCCTGAGACAGTCTTGACATTGCCTTTAATTAGCCCAGCTGTGACTCCACCTGCTTTTATTGCCACCTTCAGCCAGAGGGGATTGCTCTAGGGCCAGAAGCCTATGACCTTGGTCATGTTCCTGGGTCAGTGAAACCAGTTGCATGATTTGGCAGAACCACAGAGACCCTCTTCTCCAAACAAAACAAAACAGAAAACCCTAATACTGGAAATTCCATCTTTAGTTTCACAATTGCTTTGTGTCAAGCATTGTTCTCTGTTGCAGTTCTCACTTAAAGTCCAAAAAATCCTGGGATGGGTGGTAATATACGTCTCCAGCATTGAAATGCAAATACATTTATCTGATTGGGAAAGGTGGCATGAAAATCTTGAGTGTTGGAGGTGAGAGAGCTGCACTGAAAATGGGAGAAGGAAAATAACTTGAGTGCTAAGAAAGAATTGTGACATCAAAGGCACAAGGAGGGTGTTTCCTGGTCACCTGAGTTATATCTTGTTTCCCCTTTCCTCTTAACACATAAATAAATAAATAAGAATAACAACAAAGACATAGCCTTTCATACACATAAAATCATAATGGCTGTAGTGGACTCTGTTGTTTGCCCACTAAGCAAAGAGCATTCCCCTTTCTTTCGGGAAATTTTTCTTCCATACTTTAAGTGCATGCGGTTCAGGTGAAGCTAACTTCACCCCAGGGTCCAGGCATCATCTAGGCCTAGACCATCAAATCACTACATGCCACAGTCCCACTGGCTGAAGTCATTGTTAAATGCATAGCCATGCAGCCTGACCTAAGTCAATGAAACTCAAATGTAGGGATTTTGTAGAAACTATTGGGGGAAAAAAAAGAGCTTTCTGTTGATGGTGCAAAGCTGATGGAATGCAGGCTTAGACCAGTGAATGGACTCTTTACCCTGGCATGTCAAGAGCCTGCCTGGAAGTGAAACCAATTCAGAGAAGCATGAACTAAAACTTTCAGAGAGCCATGTTTCTAATGATATCATCTGAACACCTAGAGCTGACTATACCTGACATTAACATGAACTCAAACTTTCTAGTTACAGCCAAAAACTTCCTTTGCCCTTTCCCTTGTTTCTGATGCAACAGAAGTTCTTAATGTTACAATGACGTTACCACACAGTTCACAGTGGTGCTAGTCCCCAGCTGCTGGTAGTATTCTTCTCTACCTGATTCTGCCAGGTTCCAGTGATCTTGGCTCAAACCTGGGCTCAGTGTACCTCTCAGTGACTTGGATAATAGTAGGATAGACAATAGGGAGGAAAAGAGAATTACTGATATGGAAGAACTTTGCTCTTCTTGGAAGAAACACATTGTAAAACTCCCAAGTCTTATGTCGACAAAAGCAGACGTCCCCCTGTGGCTTAGAAAGTACTCTGGGGCTTTGCCACTCAAAGTGAGGTCCCTTGACCAGCGGTAGGCATCACCTAGAACTTGATAATTTGTTAAAACTGCAGAACCCCAGCCTATCCCAGACCTATGAATCAAACCTTCACAAGGTCTTCAGGTGATTTATGTAATATGAAAGGTAGGGAACCGCAGTTCAAGAGACTGCAGGAGGTCAGGGCCCCAGGTACACTTATGTTTGTTTTATATCCTGGGGTATATGTATGATCTCAGTTAAAAGTAGGTTCCCTTGGTTTCAAAAAGTTTGAAAAACACTGATATACTTCAATCTTCACATTTCACAGAGGGGTAAACTAAGGCTGAGAAAGGATAAATTACTTGTCTAGCAGCAGAATCAGCCACTGAGTCAGGATGAAAAGCAAATGTTCTGAAAATCTTTGTCACCTTGGGTTAAGCAAAGATTTTTAAAAATATGGCAACAAAAGCATTATCCATCAAAGAAAAGAAATCAATAAATGACTACATAAACATTTAAAACATCTGCTTTTCAAAAAATACTGTTGGGAAAATAAAAAGATAAGACACCAATTGGTAGAAAGTATTTACCAAATACACATTTGATAAAGGATGTTTATCCTGTCTAAACTGAATAATAAGAAAACAAACAACACAATTAGAAATAAGGAAAAGGTTTAAATCGATACCTCACAAGAGAAGTTACATGGATGCCAAATAACCACATGAAAAGATGTTCGACATCTTTAGTTATTAAGAAAATGCAAATTAAAAACAAAATGAAATACCTGTGTATACCTAGCAGGTTGGCAAAACCAAAAAGCAGATAATATGAAGTACAATGAGGATGTGAAGCACTTAAATTTTCATACACTGTTGATGGGAATGCAAAAATGGAACAACCACTTGGAAATGATTTGGTAGTTTCTTACAAATTTAAACCTGCTTATCATACGACCCAGGAAATCCCCTAAACATTTATGCAAGAGAAATGAAAACCTACATTCGCGCACAAAAAAGTTGATATGTGAACATCTATAGATGCTTTAGTCACAGCAACCAAACCCTGGAATAATACAAGTATCCTTCAACTCGTGGGTAGATAAACTGTGCATCCATACAATGGAATACTATTTAGCAATTTTAAAAAGGAATGAAAAAGAAAAAAAATGGATCAATCTCAAAAGCTCTGTGCTGAATGAAGGAAGCTAGATTCAAAAGGCCGCATACAGTATGTGTGTGATTCCATTTATATAACATTCTGGGAAAAGTAAAACTATAGGGGCAAAAATCTGATCAGTGGCTGCCAGGGGCAGGGTCCAGGGGAGGTGATTGACTATAAAGGTATTGTATCCATTTCCTAGGACCGCCATCACAAAATACCGCAAACTGTGTGACTTCAACAGAAATGTATTGTCTCAGAGTCCTGAAGCCTGGAAGTCTAAAGTCAAGATGTTGGCAGAGTTGTCTCCTTCTGAGAGCTGCAAGGGGAGGATCTGTCCAGGCTCCTCTCCTTGGTGTCTCTTCTTCTCTCCAGCCATGAAGATGGCTGCCTCCATGTTCACATCGTGTTCCCCTTGTATGTGTCTGTGTCCAAATGTCCCTTTTTATAAGAGCATCAGTCATTTTGGGTTAGGGCTTACCTTAATGACCTCATTTTAACTTGATTATTACCTCTATAAAGACCCTATTTCCAAAAAAGGAGACATTCTGAGGTAGTGAGGGTTAGGACTTCAACATAGGAGTTTTGGGGGACATAATTCTCCCCATGACAGGAGCACAAGAGAACGTTTTGGAGCTGGAACCATACTACTCTATCTTAATTGTGATGATGGTCCCATGTATGTGTGTATTTGTGAAAAGTCATAAAACTACACTTTTTAGTCTGAATTTAGGGTGAATTTTGCCACTTGTAACATAACTTGATTTTTTAAAATAAAAAATAAGGCAGATCTCCCAAATTTTTCCTCAAAAGATTATTATTCATTCTGATCTACTGCACTTCCCTGTCTATACTGTATGTTCTCAGCATTCATGAAGGCAAGAGATTGTTTTCCAGAACCCTGAAGTAGGTCACAGTTTCATCCAAAAAAGGCTATTTTGCTGCTCTATGAATGTCTCTGCAACCAACATTCCACCAAAGCATAAAGATTTCATGAATTGTCTTTCCTGAGAGGCAGGAAGTAACACAAAGTGAGGACCAGCTGGGAAAATCTGGTTCGGGACCTGCAAAGGTGAGCTGGAGCTGCTCTCCACCCACTGCAGGTAGAAGCTGCACACTCTGCCCACAAGCCTCTGTAGTCTCAGCCCCCAACCTGAGGCCATTCAGAGGTCACCTGCAGGAGAGGGAGACAAGATATCAAATGACCTGCCAGCTATACTCAGATACACAGGAAAGAGCCCAGCAGGTGACCTCATATCTTCACGGGAGGGGAATGTAAGGCAGAAGCTGGGGGGTGTACTACATGTGGGTTAGACATAGACGTCTTCACAAGGCAGGAAAAGCATTGGAAGGGGCCAAAGACAACAACCGTTGGGGCCCCCCGTCTCCCCATCCCTGGAAGCTTCTCCTGCCTGTGCATTCCCCTCTGTCTTTTCCTGCCAGCGTCTGACATGGAGCCATTCCCCAGGGTTACTTACTATGTACCAGCTCAGGCCAAACAGAACCACCTGGCCAGCAATGGAAGCAGAAAGAAAGACCAAGGTTTGTGACAGCATATCTGAAGCCAGCCCTCCGCTTTCAGGAAAGACATTCTCATTGTAGACAGCCCCTTCTTGGCCAGTCTGCACAGGGGTGGGGTGGCTGAGACTGGGAACTGAATGGGGAGTCAGTTGGAAAGAAAGGGGCACACAGCTTATCTCCCTCAAGAGGCTGGATCGGAATGTCCCCAGAAGTGTCTGAGCTGGGTTTGAAGGCCCGTGGAGACACATGGCTGCATGCTAGGCCAGGCTGCTGTTGGCACTGGGCGCGCTGCCCGGAGGCCTCCGAGATGCTTGACAGCACCACCTCCATTCTTTCCGGTTATCTGTCAGAAATGACATCACTGTTTTGTTAACCTTCTCATCCTCCGCATGTTTGTGGATTCTCCATCTAGCTTCTATCCCATCTGGCCTTGCTGTTCTGTCTCTTTGTGTTTTTATTTCAGGTGCTTAAAACACACACACACACACACACACACACACACACACACACACACACACACACACACACACATACACAACTCCTCCCCCTAATTTAGTTCCTAAACTGAAACAAAAAACCTTCTATTTTCTCAGGCTTAGTTTTCTCCTCTGTAAAAGGGGTAAAAGATGGGTGTTTCTTTTAGTTCTGTATTCAAAGAGTAGATTAGACTCAGAGGGTCTGAATTTCCCAAGTATTTTTTTTTTCTCACACGTTTATAAAGACTACTGGTAACTACCGTGCGTCACACACAACACACACACTCACACGCACTCATTTCATCTTCGCAATAACCCTGTGGGGTACTATTATTATCCCCATGTGTGATATTCATTCCCTAGGCCTGCCATAACAAAGTACCACAAACTGGGTACAGTCACACATGAGGCAACCGAGACACAGAACTTAACAGATGTCTCTCATGTCACATAGCTGGTCCAAGGTGGCAGGCATGCAGGGATGGATTCCAGGTTTCTTGACACCAGCATTAGTGCTCCCTAACTATGCCACTCCGGTATTTCAAGGCCAGCTTGCATCTTCGCTGTGTGGTTGCTGGTGCGTCATTTGGGCTCTCTGAGTTTAACTTTCCTCATTGGGCAGATGGAGACAGTCACACGGTTCTTGTCAGAAGTAGCAAGGTGTTCTGTGTGGAAGCTGCCGAGCCCACATAGATGTCCCCCACTCCACAAGAACGCTCCTCTTCATTCTCACTTGTTCTCTTTCCCTTGCTTTTATGTTGGCTGCTATTTAGGAAATGATTATGCTGCCTTTCCCTTGATATTCTAAATAACAAGAGCCAAACTTGTGGGGAACTCATTACACGCCAGGTATTGCACTTAGCTCTTGGTATGCTTTGCCTCATCTGCCTTTTATTTAACCTCACAAGAACCCCAGGAGGCAGGTGCGACAATTATCCCCATTTTGCTGGTGAAGGTGAGGCACCAAGAGGCTGGGTAACTTGCCCCAGGTGACACTGCCAGTTAGCGGTGGAGTCGGTACTCAAAATGAGGTCTCTGTGACCCATTCTGTTACCTAACTGCTATCGCACCAAGAAAGGAACTAGGGTGAGGGCAGGGAGAAATTATGTGGCTCACATTGGAGGCAGCTTGTAAGTTTCACCCACAAGCAATAGCAAGAATCTAAGTTAGGGGAACATTTACAATTACTTTTTAAAAATCAGCCGTCTCATCTTTTTCTCATAATTCATACTATTGGTCAATAGTGGACTTCTTCACATATTCAGATATAAGAGAAGCCACTCTGACATGTAGTTCTAGATGTACAAACCCAGATATGTAAAGATATGGAGAAGAAAATAAACTTCGACGGCTCATAGCCTATTGATCTAAGTCAAACACAAGATTGAAAAGACCCCTGCTGCTGTCACTTAGATGTCAGGTCTTCACCTCCAAATCCCTGATTAGCACTTTGCATTGTCCTGGACAGAGAGAAAATCCTTAATAAATTGTGTAGGGCTGGGTTTTTTTCTAGTCTTTTTTTCCCGTCCACCACCAAAAATTCGAGTTTCCCATGTTCCAGGAAGTGGGGAGGCAGTGGCTGGGAATGGTCCATGACCAACAGCATGGTAGGCTCCACTGGGCTCACAGACCCATGGAACCAGGGAGCACTTTTGGGTATGGGGTCACAGAGCTGAGCGGCATGAATCAAGGCCTATCTCAAGCAGGGCCCACTCCAAAATGTGAGATAGATAAGTCTAGCATCAATGCCTGGCAGCCTTCCTTAGCAGGCACCTCTCCATCCCCCTGTTAACTTCTCACCTCCAAGCACTTCTTCACCAGCTATTCCTGTGAGACCTTCTTCACCATCAACAGTTTGCTACTAAGATATGTAGCTGTGGATTTGTTTACATGGACTAGCTACCTGAGAGTGTCTGAATTTTAATAAAGGATTTTTGGAGACTCAGAATCATCAAATTACAGTCTCTCAGAGGGAAAGCATTGAGCCATCAGCTAATCCAGGGATTACAGATTCACAGGTCTCCAGGGGCAGGCAGGTAACTGCAGGCATGTGAAACAGGCTCATGGCAACAGGGGATGGCAAAAGATTGTGGCAGAATAGAGAACCATGCCACATCTGAGGGCCTTCAAAGTCCAGCTTCCAAAACCACTCTTCAGGAAAATAGCAAACACAAACAGAAAGAAAAGCAAGCAAGAAAGCTACACCCTATGTGCAATGTGGTTTGGATCCTGGAACAGAAAAATAACAATAGTGAAACAACCAATGAAATGTGAATAAAGCCTGTAGTTTAGATAATAGTAACTGTTCCAATGTTTATTTCTTAGTTTTGACAAATGTACCACACTTGTATAAGATACTAATATTAGATGAAGTTGAGTTAAGGGTATATGGGAACTTATTATACTATTTTTGCAACTTTTAATAAATCAAAATTATTCCAAAATAATATATTTACTTAAAAAAATAAAAACAACTACATAGCAGGTGAGATCTATGATAATAGCAGCTACCACTTAAACAGATGTGGTGCTTACTATTTCTAAGAGCTTTATATATATTAATCCATTTACTCCACACAACAATTTTATCATGTAAATACAGTTATTCTCCATTTGTGTGTAAGGAAACTTAAACACAAGCAGGTTAAATATTTGGCCCAGACTCACACAGCTAGTAAGTGGTAGAGCCAAACTTGTAATCCAAAGGCACAGTATTTTTTCCTACATCAGCCCAAGTGAGGGATGTAAAAACATGTCTGTCAGGATCAGAGGCTCAACTGGGTGATGACTTATACCTAAGGGGCAGGGCTGGAACTGCAGTGAGTCAAGTGAGACTGCCCCCTCCTTGGCTATAAAATGTAAGGGGGCACTACCTCTGACACCTATTAAGATGGCTAATATTTTTTAAATTTTATTTTATTTTAAGGTTTTTTTTTATTCCCCACCCCCTGCCAAAGAAAAGACTTGCTTTAACATGTTTTGGGGCAAGCTGAGATCCAAAGAGGTTAACTTTTACTTACTGGAGGTCACCACTGTTTAGCAGTATATATATGCAGGATGTGCAGGTTTGTTACATAGGGAAAGGTGTGCCATGGTGGTTTGCTGCAGCTATCAACCCATCACCTGGGTATTAAGCCCCGCATGCATTAGCTATTTATCCTGATGTTCTCATTCCCCTCTGCCACCCTGACAGGCCCCAGTGTGTATTGTTCCCCTCCCTGTATCCATGTGTTCTCATTATTCAGCTCCCATTTATAGTGAGAACATGTGGTGTTTTGTTTTCTGTTCCTGTGTTAGTTTGTTGAGGATAATGGCTTCCAGCTCCATCCATATCCCTGCAAAGGACATGATCTCACTCCTTTTCATGGCTGCATAGTATTTCATGGTGTATATGTACCACATTTTCTTTATCCAGTCTATCATTGATGGGCATTTTGGCTGATGGCTACTATTTTTTATTTTTTGAGACGGAGTCTCGCTCTGTCGCCCAGGCTGGAGTGCAGTGGCGCAAACTCTGCTCATTGCAAGCTCCACCTCCTGGGTTCATACCATTCTCCTGCCTCAGCCTCCCAAGTAGCTGGGGCTACAGGCATCTGCCACCACAGCCGGCTAATTTTTTGTATTTTTAGTAGAGAC
Organism: Homo sapiens; assembly: GCF_000001405.40. NCBI lineage: Eukaryota > Metazoa > Chordata > Mammalia > Primates > Hominidae > Homo > Homo sapiens. Next base: position 34,834,664 of record NC_000011.10, read on the forward strand.
AGGGTTTCACCATGTTAGCCAGGATGATCTCGATCTCCTGGTCTCGTGATCCGTGATGGCTACCATTTTTTAAAAAACAAAATAGAAAATAACAGCATTTGAGATGCATAGAAACTGGAACTCTTTCACAACTGTTGATAGGAAGGTACAATGGTTCAGACACTATGAAACACAGTATGGCTGTTCCTCAAAAAATCAAAAATAGAATAACCATATAATTTAGCAATTCCATATCTGTATATATACCAAAAAGAATTGAAAGTAGGATCTCAGATATTTTTACACCAATGTTCATGGTAGCATCATTCATAGGAATCAGAAGATGTAAGCAACTCAAGTGTTCCTTAGCACAGAAATGGATAAATAAAATGTAAATACATATATGGAATATGATTCCATATATTTATATGTACATACATACATACCTACCATACATGTATATACATACATTCCATATATGGATATATATTTTATTTATCAAGTTATTCAGCCTTTAAGAGGAAATTCTGACATATGCTACAACATGGATGAAGCTTGAAGATATTATGCTAAGTGAAACAAGCCCATCACAAAAAGACAAATACTGTATGATTCCAGTTAAATGAGGCACCTAAAGTTTTCAAATTCATAGAGACAGAAAGTAGAATGGTGGTTTCCAGGGACTTAGGGGAGGGGGAAGCAGAGAGTTATTGTTTAAGGGGCACAGACTTTCAGTTTGGGAAGGTAAGGAGTTCTAGAGATGGATGGTGGTGATGTGTGCACAACAGTGTGGACGTACTTACTGCCGAAAGCTGAACTTTTGTGTTTTTTTCTTTTTTTTTTTTTTTTTTGAGACGGAGTCTTGCTCTGTCACCCAGGCTGGATGCAATGGCGTGATCTCTGCTCACCGCAACCTCCGCCTCTTGGGTTCAAGCGATTCTCCTGCCTCAGCCTCCCAAGTAGCTGGGATTACAGACGTCTGCCACCACACCAGGCTAATTTTTTGTATTTCTAGTAGAGAAGGGGTTTCACCATGTTGGCCAGGCTGTTCTTGAACTCCTGACCTCGTGATCCACCCGCCTTGGCTTCCCAAAGTACTGGGATTACAGGCATGAGCCACCATGCCTGGCCCAAGAGCTGTACATTTAAAAGTGATTAAGATGGCAAATTTTATATTAGAAATATTTTACAACAATTTAAAATAAAATAAAATAATTTAAGGTGCACTGAAAAACTCAGTCATCAAGATAAATAATATTTTAATGCAATATTTTATGAGATCAAAACTAATGCACCAGCCTGGGCAGTAAAGTGAGACCCTGTCCCTATAAAAAATAGAAACACATTAGCTGAGTGCAGTGGCATGCACCTGTAGTCCCAGCTGCTGGGAAGGCTGAGGCAGGAGGATCACTTGAGCCCAGGAGTTTGAGGCTGCAGTAAGCTATGATTGCACCACTGTGCCGAAGCCTAGGAAACAGAGTGAGACCCCATGTCAAACAAGAACAACAGCAACAAAACAAATGCAAAACAAATCAGGAGGACAAAACTACCAAAATTTTAAATAAAGACAAATGTAGGGACAGTGTCCTTTCAAACTATATTGGACTTGAGACAAGAGGAAGAATCAGCAACATTGATCCTGAAAAACACAGCCCTTCCCATGTGCTTCAAGAGCATATGAGAAATTTAGCAGTGGATGGGACTTGGGTTGTACAATAAAAAAGCTCCCTAGATGATTCCGTTATTCAGTATTCCCTACCCCCTGCCAAAGAGAAGACTTACTTTAACATGTTTTGGAGCAAAGCAAGATCCAAAGAGGGTAACTTCGTTACTGGAAGTCACCACCGTTTAGCAAAGAATTCATGGTGGAATGCCTGGGAACTCAATGGCCAGTTGGGAGACCCTATTGTCCCATTCCAGGACAATTCTGCCTTAGGGGCCCTGTAAGGTGCTCATTAGGACACCAAGCCTGCACAACACCTGCCAGATCTTTTGCACCTTTTACCCAACTTCCAGCTCCAGGCTGATTCTAAAATGTATTTCAGGCCAGGCACAGTGGCTCACACTTGTAATCCCAGCACTTTGGGAGGTTGAAATAGGAGCATCGCTTGAGCCCAGGAGTTTGAGACCAGCCCTAGCAACATAACAAGACCCCATCTCTAAAGAAAATTTAAAAATCAGCCAGGCAGGTGGTGCGCACTTGTAGTCCCAGCTACTATGAAGGCTGAGATGGGAGGATTGCTTGAGCCTGAAAGGTCAAGGCTGCAGTGAGCTGTGGTCACACCACTGCACTTCAGCCCGGGTGACAGAATGAGACCCTGTCTCAAAAAATAAAATGTGTTTCAAACTTAATCACTCAACACCCTGCTGCCCTTAGCCAACTCACTTGGGACGTTTCAGATGGAAGGCAGCAGCGGGACAAGTCTCTGCAGAAACACTGGGGTTTAGGTGCTGCCATTAACAATGCAAATTCAGGGGAGTGTCAGCTGATTTATTCAACAGCACCTTTGGCATGTCCTCGCACCCCACTCAGTTTCATCTATCATCCCCTGTCAGCCCTGGGAGCGGGCTGGATGGGCTACATGTGCTAACCAAGTTCCATTAATATTGTCTCAGGGCTCTGGATTTATGGAGGCTTATTTCTTAATTTTTGGATTCCAATGATTACAGTTATGAGATCCTGTCATAGTCCTGTAGGCTCTCACCCTCTCTCTGAATGTTTCTGTTTTCTTTACCAAGGAGCAGACAACTCATTTCCTTCTTTCTCAGCCTGCAGGGTCTGGCCCTGTCTGCCTCTCAGAGTGCACTGCCAGCCCCTACCCTGGCCCTCTCCAGCCTCCAGTAGCTCAGCTGACCCCATGACCTTTGCAATGCTTCTCTTTTCTCCTTGTATACCTCTCCCCTTCCCACCTTTCTCCATTCTCCAGCCTCTTCTCCCAGTTCAGTGAGTCTCCACTGGGGGTGATGCTGCCCTGCAGGGGACATCTGGCAATGTCTGCAGGCATTTTGACTGTCACAACTGGGGCTAGTGGGTGGTGCTACTGGCATCTAGTGGGTGGAGGTCAAGGCTGCTGCTCAAGATTCTACAAGGCACATGACAGCCTCCCCTGCCTTCAAAGAATGATCCAGCCCAAAGCATTAATTAGGGCTGAGATTGAGAAACCCTGCTCCAGCTAAGCAAATCATCAGCTGAAACTCAAGGATCACTTTCTCTCCTGGGGAAGCTGGCTCAGAGGGCACTCTCCTGCCATCCTCACCCCAACACCACCACCATCACCACCCAAATGCACACCAGACTATGCCATTTTCAGGGCATACCCCTTCTTTCCTTTAGGGTACTCATTTTAGTTTGTCCCCCATTGTATTTCTGTGCTCTGTGTGATGAGTATCTACCCCCACACTCAAAGCTGCACAAGATCGGGGACTTCTTGCTGATCCTGTATCTGTGTCTATGATCGAGTGTCTGTGTCTGTGATCAGCACTGGATCCCCAGGGCAGAGCAGGTTGCTTGATGCACAGTAGGTTCTCAACAAACAATTGAAACAATCAATGAATCCTCCTTCTATGCCTCTTTGGAGGGCCCACCAGATTCAGGGCAGCCTCTAAGACCTGCCGAACTGAAATTGTGGGGAAAGGGTCAGCCTGTGTGTACCACTGGGAGCAGAGAGTGAGGGGTGAACACATCTGGATAAACTTCCTCACCCCTCTGTCAGCAAATATTTATTGAGGCACTTATTTTATGCCAGGAACTGTTGGATATTAATTGCAGTCATGTACAAGACGGATGTAAGTCTTGACCTCATCGATCTTTGATCTTTTGGAAAGACAGTCATCAAATGAGTGATGAATGTTTCAAAGGGAAAGGAAGTGGGGCTGTGGATACCCATGCTGGGAAAATCTAAACTTGTCTAGGTGGGAAGGATGAAAGGGCTCTTTTTTCTTCTTCCTCTTTTGTGTGGTCCTCCTCTTTGACCTCTACCTCCCATCTCAGGGCTGGGATTAATGTGACCTATGTTCAAAGTTATCTTTGGGAATCATCCCAAAGCAGATAGGCACAACCTAAGGGTGTACAAGACAACTACTGGGAGATAAATAGAAAATATTAGATCTTGTTATATTTATTTTAATGTCATCCTTGTTTGAATTTTTATCTAGGAGTATGTTTTATAATCTCCAAATTGGGTCCATAGAAGCAGACTCTGAAACATAGAGTTGCAGGCAGGTTTGTTGGGGAGTAGTCCCAGTTGGTACACTTGGGACTGTATCAACTTGCCACTATATGGAAGTGAGGAGGGCAGTACTGGGCATAGGAGAAAGCTGACCTAAAATGCACATGCAACAGAGGTCTCAACAAACCCTACCGGGAGCTCCGGGGCTGTGATAGCCCTTGAGAGTGGTCTTGCATTGAGGCAATGGAGTGGGGTCTTTATATCCCCATCAGTCAGTCACTGGCTACAAGCCACCCTCTGGGAGTACATGGCCTTGGGTGAGCTGTTTGTTATAGCCAAGGGCAGTTTCCAATCAGGAATGTAGCTGTGAGGCTTTGGCAACAAATATTTCCAGTTGCTGGGAGGTGGTGGCATTAACTCTAAAGAGAGGGTCTAGGCAGAGCACCACAGTGTCCACCACAAGAATCTATTTCTACAGCAATACATGTGAATTCCACACGTGTGCGCATGCATATGCATGCACTCACATACACACACACTTCAAAAATTGTGTGTGTGTGACCCAAAATGTTATGCTGGTAGGGGCATGCCATATAGATAATGTGGTGACCACCAATTTAGAGTAGATGTACCCAAATGATAAAAGGAGTTGTTTTTATCAGTCTGCCCCCACTCTCCCATTATCATTATGGGCATCATTTCAAAAACGTTTCTCCCAAGCTGCTATAATAAATAATGCATTTATTCCCTCATTTTGAAAATAACAAAGGACAAAACAACTGTGGGTGATAGAAAACAAGACAGAGAACAACCAAAACTAATTTGATTTGGAATTCTGATATGATTGTATTTTTGTTAGCACAGTGGTTAGGAGTCTGGGTTTAAAGCCTGGTGATCTGGGTTTAGTTACCAGTTCTACTACTTAGTATGTGAACTTGAGCAAGCTGGTTAATATATCTCATGCCCATTTCTTCATCTATAAAACAAGGATAATAAAGCACCTATTTCATGGGATTATAATGAGGATTAAATGAACTAATACATTAAAGTACTTAGGACAATGACTGGGATATAGTAAGCACTCAATAGTTGTTACTCAACCTCATTAGTCTACATGGCTTTTTTCCAGAAAAATGGAGGTTTGGGGCCTTTGAAACTATTATGGAGCTCCTTGTATCAGTTAAGAGCAGGCTTGCCTATGAGTGACAGAAAATTCAAAGCAAGAGGTAGAAGTTTATTTCCCTTTCACAGTTGGTTTTGCCAGCTGAGATGACAAACCCACAGTCTTGAAATACCATGAATCCTTCTAACTCTTAATGATCCTACCTCATGGTCCTATATAGCTGCTCCAGCCCCTGACATCACATCTGCATTCCAAGCCTATAGCTCAGAAAGAAGGACAGAGGAGTTATCAGAGAATAGTCAGCAGTCTCTGCCAAATGTCTTGACTTTGCTTTTAACATGGGAAGGGCAGGAAGGCACAGCCCATTACCGACGATGCTTCACTGATAACTAACATTGAATCCATAACATCTAGAACTGTTCTTTCCTTTGGTCTGAAGCTGAACACAGTGATCCCTTGGAGCTCACCTTTGGCATGGCACCTGGAACAGATTCTAACTAAACCACCAGTTGAAGGCCTTCTCCTCACTTGGTCCCTCAAGGAACCTCCTTCTTCTGCAGGGGCTTTCTAATCACACAACCCTTATAGGCCCCTGAGTCCTCTAAATTATTCTACTTGTTCTCCCTCACCTGACCATTTCCCTTCCTTGGCCTTTAAGCTGACTTCAGCCATTCCTTTTCATCCAGTTTTCAGTGTTGTGGTCATTTTTCCTGCTGAAGATGGAGAGACCGTAGGATGGCTGTGTTTCAGGAGAGGAGGGAACAGTCAGACGTGTTCACTGCATAGGGGTCACCTCCTACAGCCACTCCTGTTATGTAAGGCCATCTCTGTGTCTTTGCCACTTTGATGTTCTTTTTACCAAAAGCTGCCTCTCTAGCCTGGCTGAGTGTAATGCCAGCCCCAGAAGGAGGCAGTGGTGTAGTGGTGGGTTGTGTTCTAGGACAGATTCCCCACTTCCCCTTCACGGACCAGTAAGGACTCCTGCGAGTAGAGCACACCATGCTAGTGAGGCCCAGGTTACTCATGCAGCCCCTAGAGGGCAGTAGACTTTACTCCTCATCAAGGCCAGGCAATTGCCTAGCCCTGCCAACACTTGCCTAACCTTTTACAACTTATCACTAAAAGGAATGCCAACTAATTACTGGGCATCCACTGTGTCAGGGATTAAATCGGCTCATCAAATCCTAACAACAGCCCTGCAAGATGGGGGAGTTTAGCTCCATTTTACAAATGAGGAAACCAAAGACCAGAGAGGTTGAGTAACTTACCCAAGGCTATAGATCTAGAAAGTGGTAGGACCAGGACTGCAACTCAGGTCTGATGCCCAGACTATGTTCTTTATCCTATGTGAGTTGCCTCTCATTAAATGTCCATAATTAGTCAGTGGTACGGAGAGGGAGGTATGGAGAATCAACACAATGAATGCAATGAATATTTACTAAGCTTCTACTAAGTGCCAGGTACCAGGGATACAAAGATGGATAAGACATGATCCTCAAGAAATGTCAGTTTAGCCAGGAATACAGTCGTGGACATGGATTACTTCAGGCCAGTGTACTAAGGGCAAAGATCTTATGAATACTCAGCAGCATAATCCATACTTGGGTAGAAATTTAAGAGAGGGAGCAGGAGGAATCACAGGAAGCTTCCTGGAAAGGACCATCTCTGAGCTGAGTCTTAAAGGGTGAATTTGAGTAGACAGGTAGATAATGTAAAAGGCATTTCAGGCAGAGGACACAAAACATGCAAAGGTCAGGAGGTAGGGCCGGTATAACATACCAGCCATATACTCTGTATGTATAGGCTCCAGTGTAGCATTTCAGTATACACCCAGCAAACATTTTTCACCAAATAAATGCATTCTCCTCCTGCAATGGGTAGAAACACACACACACACACACACACACACACACACACACACACACGCACATACACACACCCCAAAAACCTTTCTGGTCACTCCATTAATTTTTCAGTCACATTCTTCTTGTCTTTTCTCCTGCCTCAGCCTGGCTCCCACTTCTGCCTCCTCCCCTGTTCTCAGGTTCTCTATGTAGAATGTTCTGATTTCACCAGAAGACTTTTTTTGCCATGGTCCTGAAACTCCATTTTGCTTGCATTCATTGGAAGCCAAATGAATGTTGTACTTCTTGGAGTTCTGCTGAGATGTTGGGGGGCTGAAAGCCAGCGTCTTGGGTGAGTGAGGTCTTCATAGAGACTTCAGGTTTAAGTAAGACTGAGCCCATCTGCTGCTTCCATCCTTCCCAAACCTGGTTCCCAAGCAGCACTGGTGTCAGTCTAGCCCATTGAGGAGCTTTGCCTCCCATTGGCTCCCAGATTTTAGTTGCCGGGACACCTGAAGGAGAAGAAGGGTGTTGGTCCTCAATTCCCTCCAGCCTCATGTTGCCGTGGCCTTTATCCACGCCTCCGTGCTGGGTCCCAGCCTCTTGATTTCCCTTTCTCCTCTTACTCCAGGCCTGTCTCCCCCATCCCCAGAAACAGTGTAACCTATGCTTAGAAAATTAAGTTTTACAGGTTTCAGTCAGGGGCAGGAATTTCTAAGGGTGGGATTTTAATATCAGTGTTCGAGTTGATTCTCCCAGCATTTCTTGGGGTGGGAACCCCCCTAGCACCCCTGAAATCATACAAGCCTGTTAAGACAGTGGAGCTATATAGACCTGGGTAAATAACTCTATGCTCACACAAACCTGAGTTCAAATATGGGCTCTGCTACTTCCTGGCTTGGTGACTTCAGCCAAGGAGCTGAAACTCTCTGAGCCTCTGTATTCTTGTCTATAAAGCAGGGATAATAGTGCCATGGTGTAAAGCACTTGGCGTGGATACTATTATTATAACACTCCTTGCTCGTTTGTAGACACCGCTTGCTCATACATTGATTTTTTTGTTTTTTATTTTTTGAGACAGAGTCTCACTCTGTTGCCCAGGCTGGAGTGCAGTGGTGCGATCTCAGCTCACTGCAAGCTCCACCTCCTGGGTTCATGCCATTCTCCTGCCTCAGCTTTCCGAGTAGCTGGGACTACAGGCGCCCGCCACCGCACCCGGCTACTTTTTTGTATTTTTTAGTAGAGATGGGTTTTCGCCGTCTTATCCAGGATGGTCTTCGTCTCCTGACCTTGTGATCTGCCCACTTCGGCCTCCCAAAGTGCTGGGATTACAGGTGTGAGCCACCACGCCCAGCCACGTTGATTCATTTGACACAATTTTGTTAAGAGCAAAGTCTTTTTATAATTTAAAGCATATCATGGAGTAATCAAATTTCCTCCTTAAAATAAAATTTTAAAATGTTCAATCTTTTCTATTCTCTTTGGAAGTAATACCTTAATACATTGTACATGCACAGCAGAGAGTAAGCTTTATTTCAATAGATCTGCCCACTCTACTTCAATTTAAGGCAATATGTTGTGGGATGAATTGCTTAGGCTGGAAAGTTTCATCCAATTTGTAACCTCCTTTCCTCAAACAAATTATAGTTCCTCTCCTCTGGGTCAATTTTACTCAAGTGCTACAACCACTAATGATTTCCAGAGAGAGCTATTGTAATTACTTTAAATCACATTGTTTTTGCCATGGTTGTACATACTAATTTCCAGTAGTCCCCCAAACACACATCTGAAATTCATAACTACATGGATTTTTTCCATCTTTTTCTATTTATCAATTAAAAATAGATTACAAAGGCAGCAAGCACAAGTTATTAAGAGGGAAACCACTGCATTTTTAAGAATTACTATTATTCGAGTCAGTAGCATTTTTCCAGTGCCAGCAATGCAGCCTCCTCTCTATTGTAATGTAGCTGCTGTGTTCCCCCTCTCATTAAACTTCAGCTAAGGAGAGGCATGGCTTTATTATTAAGGCACCTAGTTCCATGTTTTCTTCTATGTGGTAGGAATTGTTACATTAAAACATAAAGGAAAAAAAACACCCTCAATTGTAACAAAATCTGTTTTCTTGGAAACAGTTTTTACAATTTTGCAAAGGGATGACTTTGTTACTTTATAAAACAACTTCCCAGTGCAAAAGCTATTAGCCCAAACAAACCAATGTTTCTACTGCTAAAATGGTTACGATTAAAAATGAGCAAAAATCCAGCACAAGTCCTGACGTTCTGAGGCTCTGACACAATTCAAAGGAAGTAATCTCCAGCAATAACAATAAAAATCAAGACCATCTTGTGCAATGGAATGAAGCAGAGTTGATGTACCATGAAGTGATGAGGCCATCATAAGCCAATGGCTCCACAAACATCTCTGAGGCAGGAGAGCTCAGTGGCATATATATCTATATATCTATATCTATATCTATATCTATATCTATATCTATATCTATATCTATATCTATATCTATATCTATATCTATATCTATATCTATCTATCTATCTATCTATCTATCTATCTATCTATCTATCTATATATATATCTTCCCTTCGTTCTCTCCTCTTATTCCCTTACTTGGACTCATAAACTTCTTTAAGACATCATGTACCTCGTCTGGAAGCAACTGGGATTTTAGGAGATAAGTGGGGCATAAGTTCAGAGATAGTGGCTTCAAGCAAATATCCCAGGCAGGAGTCAGGGGACCCTCTCAATCTTGCTGGTGATCTCTGCAGTGAGCACCACAAAGTCCTGCTAGTAGCCTTCAAATTCAGGCAACAGGGAAGCTCCAGACTGACTGGCCCGGGCCAGAGCCTAGGTTGGGGCGGTGGCTAAGCAGGGTGGAGTACCTGAGAGACATCCTCAAGAGCTGAGCTCATTTGACAAATATTGACTGGCTACTGTGTGTCAGATGCTTTACAGACCCTAAGTGTGACCAAAACATTCTCTGGGGGTCCCTGGAACTCTTTCAAGGGGTCCACACGGTCAGAATTATTTTTGTAACAGCAAGCCCCTATCTGTTTTGTTCACTCTTATTCTGTCGTGAGTATACAGTGAAGTCTTATAGAAGCTACATGATATGTGATGACATCATTGTTCTAACAACATGTGTGCTTCTGTATTCCTGTTTTAAATTTCCTTATTTTAATTTTGAATACAGTAAATATTGGTAGATACAACTCACACCAACAAAAATTCTTTGAGATACTCAGTAATTTTAAAGAGCGTAAAGGGATCCTAAGAGCAAGATGTCTGAGAACCCTTGGTTTAATGCTATGCTTTGGTTACAGTTTGTTTCCACCAAATCTCTTGTGGCAGTATTGGGAAGTGGAGTCTAGTGGGAGATGTTTAGGTCATAGGGGCTGACCCCTCATGAAAAGATTAATGTCCTCCCTTGGGGGTAAGTGAGTTCTCACTCTATTAGTTCCCAGGAGAGCTGGTTGTTATAAAGAGCCTGGCACCTCCCGCTTCTCTCTCTCTTGCTTCTTCCCTCACCAGGTGATCTCTGAACAGGCTGGCTCCTCTTCACCTTCCACTATGAATGGAAGCATCCTGAGGCCTTCACCAGCTACAGATACCCAATCTTGAATTTTTCAGCCATAAGAATCATCAGCCAAATAAATGCTTTTTCTTTATGAATTACCCAGCCTCAGGAATTCCTTTATAGCAACACAAAAAGACTAAGATATTCGGTGTACAGTAAATTTTTTTTCCAGTCTTTGGCATATGACTGTGTTTAATCGTAAAAATTTGAGATCATATTATAGGTATACTTTGTATTTGTATAAACAACTGTGATAACATTTCTATGAGCCAGACACTGCTCCAAGTACTTTCTCTTAGCAACCCCTTGAGATAGAAATTATTGTAATCTCCATTTTAAAAAATTAATTAATGTTAATTGCCTTGTTCAGGGTTACACAACTAGGGAAGGACAGAGTTGGAATTTAAGCCAAGGCAACTTCAAGGCATAGTATTTCAACATCTGGACCACATGTTCCAGAATTTATGTACTCATTCTATAATTTTTGGGCATTTAAGTTTTTAATTTTTCACCAATATAAAATAACACTATCTGAATGTCCCTGAATATACAGCTTTGTTGGGATCATGGATTATTTCTTTGTAATCAGTTCTTAGGAATGGAATTATTGGGTTGAGGACATATCAATTCTTTTCTGAATTGTGATATACATCTCCAAATTATCTTCCAAAATGTATACTCCCGTGCATACTTCCACCCCAAATGCTTGATGCTTGTGTCAATTAATCCTCAGAGGTATTTTTGCAAACACAAAGAAAATAGAAAAGTGCCTCCTAGGCATTTTGAAAATCTCTAGAGAAGTCAAATACCATTTTAAAAATATTTATAAACACATATTTCTCTTAGTGCAAATTGTTTGCTCCTTTTTAAGATTTTTATTTAATGAGATTGATCTGATTTGTATGCACACATTCATGAGCTTATGCATAAAAGTGAGTTTTGCCCACAGCAGAGTGATCACTTAGACACTTAATCTAATGATAATACCATTCGATAAAAGTATGTGGAACTCCTTTATGGGACTTACACGCAAAATAGTTTATAAACCACATAAGAAAAGAGGAAAGTCTTTGTATAAAGCATTGTTATCACCTTTAAAAAATGTTATTTGTATTTAAGAAAAACACATAACAATATTATATTGTTCATTAATCTTATTTGCCAGGTTGGATCCAAATAACTTTTTGGCTGTCTGCTAATATCGAGTCTACTCTTAAGGGACTAGGAGTTATCATTACAGAAGTTATCTGTAGTGGACACTGTGGCTGCCTGGCTTGTTCACTCATCCCCCAGGGGCTATGAGTAAAGTCTACTAATGACCTGCAGCTGTCCTTCTTCATAGACTTCTCTGCTGAACAAGGGTGTCTGCCCACTAGGTTCTTACCCCCCGAGAGCAGCCAGTAGCCAATGACTGACACAGGGACACAAAAGGCTGACATCTTTGCCTCAAGCGTGCCTAACTATGTGCTGCAATTTGTGCTCCAGAGCTTTCTATTAGACCAGACTGATGAGGGTCTTCAGCTGAGACCACATCCTTACTTAGCTTTTTTTTCCCTTGCTCTATTCTGCTTCCCTTACTTCCAATCTGCTGAGAACACTTTTCCAATAAATTTTACAAGAATCTCCACCTCAAGCTCTGCTTTTGGGGAGACCTACCTAAGACAGTTGGTGCCAATAGTGGTCATAGGAAATGGACTCTAAGGTATGGGATCCTGGGGGTGGATCACTCACTGGCTGGATGACAGTGAGGACCCCTCCTGGCAGTAGATAGAGTATTGATACTCTCTGGCATGCTGTACATTAGCTAAGAACTTCACTCTGGTAATCTGAGGAAGAATGCAGGTAGAAGGGAATGCACTGCTTAGTACAATGTCTCTGGCATTTGAGAGGTATGGAGCAAATAGAAAATTTAGGACTGTGGAACTAGGGGACTGGTGTTAAGTGCCATTGATTCATTGAAAAGAGAAAATGCAAAGCTCAAATGTATTAATCATCAATTTTAAACAGAGAGCCCCTTTGATGACACTTACAGACACTCATCTCCTGCAGCCAGACAGTGGACAGAGCTGAAGGGCAAGCAGATTGCTTTTCTAATAGTAAGGAAAGCAGAGCTTCAAAACAGGTTGAATTCTCAGCTTAGGCAAATATCTTATGCCAATGTCAAGAGCCTGATAGGAAAAGAGTGGGGCCCTAAGACTTAGGATACAGATATTGGGGGTGGTGCACTTGAGAACCTTAGAACCCCCACATTTCAGATTTCTCCAAACCTTCTTGGCAGGCATAAATGGCCCACTCCCCCTGTTGGAAGATAGAGCCCCCATCCATTTTCTAGATAAGACTAAGACCTCAAATAAGGCAGGTGCTTTATAATGTCTTATCTTCTTAGGATCAGCCATCACATTCTCTTCTGGACACAAGACTTAAGGTCAAGTCTCACCAAGTACTAGAGAGGTACCAGGCCTGCAAGGGGAGGAGAGAAATTATATGCCAAAGGAGGTGCAGGAATGGGTTAATATATGCCAGCAGGAGCTGGATGAGTAGGCCTAGAAGTGGATCATGAGGATGCTGGATGAAGGTGGGAAGATAAGGGAACGTTTGTCAAGGTAGGGTTAAGGACCTCAGGAAAGATGCCTAATATACTGATGGGGTGGTTGTTAGTAGCTTAGAAAAAGTGATTTGTTGCAATAAATGAGATAGAGATGCTAGATTGCCTGGAAGACTGAGAAGGAAGGGATTGAAAGTTTCAGAGAACTGAGCATGCTAGAATGGGTCAACTATATAATACTGGAAAACTCACCAGCTATGTTCCACTAGTTACCAAGGTGAAAAGGAATGCACTGGGAGTGGCTGAGGGTGGATACCAGGACTACTGAGAAGTGCTATAGAGGCTTTATCTTTAGGCTGGGGCTGACAGTAGAAGATGCTATTCCAGAACCAGCCTCCCTGGAGTCAATGAGAATAATTGGGCCTGGAATAGCAGAGGCCAGGTGGTAACTCTCAACCATCAGAAGCAAGGTGGATATAATTACTGTAACAGGCAGCAATATTGAAATGACACCCAAGGAGGCCTGACCTATACATATCAATGAAAGTGGCTAATGGGTCATATTATTCCTAGGGGCAAGATAGATTGTAGCTAATAATATTCACTTAAAGTGTAAAATCAAATGAGATTAAGAATAGATGAACAGAACGCTGAGGTCAGCCATCCCAATGGAAAACAGGATCTCTTGCCCAGTTTCTAGACCTAAGTCAGTTCTCAGATCCAAAACCCACTGACTGCAGAAAGGTTGGATCCCCATGATATGGTCTGGCCGTCTCCACAGCCAAATCTCATCTTGAATTGCAGCTAATTCCCACGTGTTGTGGGAGGAACCCAGTGGGAGATAATTGAATCATGGGCGTGGTTTCTTCCATTCTGTTCTCGTGGTAGTGAATAAGTCTCATGAGATCTGACGGTTTTATAAGCGGAAACTCCTTTCACTTGGCTCTCACTTCTCTCTTGCCTGCCACCATACAAGATGTGCCTTTGCTCCTCTTTTGCCTTCTGCCATTGGTCGTGAGGTCTCCCCAGCCGTGTGGAAATGTGAGTCCATTAAACGCTTATTTCTTTATAAATTACCCAGTCTCGAGCATGTCCTTATTAGCAGTGTGAGAATGGACTAATACAGTTGCCACATGAAAAGACACTGCAGCATCATAACAAGTATATACCATAGTGATTCAGCAAGTCCTTCCCCAAAGGGACCCATGTCTAGACACTAAGGAAAAGGAATACCCAGTTCTTTCAGATGCTATTAGATCAGGTCAGAGATGATCCTGTTACATGAGAACCCAAAGTGCTTTCATGACCGCTTTTAGGGTAGGGGCTTATGCAAGTCAGGTAACAAGTGGAATTCTGACCCAGGTTTGTCTCACAGTTGATAAACAGAGGCCATGGATCTGCCCAGTGATCATGACCCCAGCTCCCAAATGTGTAAGTGAAATGAACATTCTTAGCAGTTGGTAGAACACTTACTTTGGTTCTTCGACCTGTAAAGTAAAAGCAATTGTGGTATGAAAGGCCGTGTGAAAATCCCCAAAACTTCACCCTTTGGTCAAGATAGGATACGAAACTGCTTGGCATCCTAGAGGGGATGGCATATTGGTGCTACTCTTGAAGACATAAAGGATGTAGGAGTGGTGGGATCTGCAATATCCTCATTTAATATATCAGCCTGGCCCCTAAAAAAAACTGGATCATAGGGGAAAACAACGTACTGCTATAAACATAACCAAGTAATTCCCCCAATTGCAGATTAACATGTCCTCATATCCATAATATTAAGCTATTACCTGGCAAATATTTTAAATGCCCATCAGAAATAAGGATCAGAAGCAGTTGATGTGCATATGCAATGTTTTGCTTCAGGGCTATGTTTGTTTCCTGCCTTCTCTATCATGAAATAGTCCAAAGAGACCTAGACCAACGGATGATTATGCAGAACTTTACATTGGCCCACTATATTTGATGTCATCATGTTAACCAAGCCAGATGAGAAGTGGAAAATTATCTGAATGCCTTGGCAGGATACATATGCTTCAAGGGATAGCATTTGTACAGAAAAACACTAAAAAGATTCAGGGGTTCACTACATTAGTAAAGTTTTTAGGGGTTTAGTGATCTGAACACGCTGGGTTATGGGTTATTCTGTGCATGCTGGGTTATCCTATCTAAAAAGTTTTTGTGCTTTACACCTTACACAAATAAGAAAAAAGCGCAATGCTTGACAGGCATCTCTGGGATTAGGAGGTAGCATACTCCATACTGGAATACTGATCTTTGTATGGGGTGACACAGAAGAATCCTAGATTGAGTGGGGTCTGGAACACTTCTCCAGTAAATCTCTTAAACTGCAATTTCCATCTCAGGCTCTGCTTCTAGGGAACCTGACCTGAGGCAGATGCTTCAGAAGAGACCAGGTTGTTTAGAGCCAGGAGACAGGACACCTGGGTCTTAGTTCTATTGTGTTTTTTCTGTCCGAACGACCGAGGCATGTTATTTTGCTCTCCAGGCTTCCATGTTCTTATTTGTAAAATGTAGGGCTTGTGTTGCTTCAGCATTTCTTAACTTTCTTCCATCAGATAACAGACATGACAGATAAGATTTATATACATGACACACTCCCAAGGGTGTGTCCCTCTGCACCCATAAGAGCAGGTTATATGCAGTTCCCAGCAGGCTGGCTATAACTCCACCCCTCTTTCCCACTCAGGAAACGATATTGGAGTGTAGAGTGATAAAAGTGAAACCACAGGGTATGGACAACCTTGAATATTTTCTAGTTTGCTTTTTAAAACATCATTTGCAATCTATCATACTTCAATGTGTTTTTAAAAATCATTTTAACAAAGCTCACTATGGGTGTTTCTTGACAACATAGTTCAGAACAAGTGTTAAAAATACTCATTAAGATTACTTTCTGTCTCCAAAGTTGAGATTCTGAAAATAAGTCCCCACAAATTGAGTTCTGAAATCTTTGCATGCCAGTGCCCCTGTGATACCTTAAACAAGAACACTCCTTTGTATATAGAAGTTTGATAAGCTGAATATGTATCTGATAAGAACTTCTTTCAATTACCTCCTGTTTACTGATTGCCTACTTTTGCACTATTTGTAAGATTCCAGAATTCTAAAATGTGCTTACTTGATTCAAATTTAGTGTCTTCATAGAGGCATTTCAAGAAGTTCACATTAATGAGTGTCAAAAGAGAAAAGGATTCTGTAGTCAAAGAAGTTTGGATCAATTAAGGTTAATCAGATATCTTTGCTGCAGAACTTAAGTCCTTTAATCTAATTTGTTAAGATGCTTTGGGAATCTCCAGAAGATAAATTTAGTCTGTGATGTTTCCCCAAGATTTTGAACATGAAACCCCATGGAATAAATGCTCAAGGAACATACTTTAGAAAAATAAGAGCTTTACAGCAATATTAGCTTTCAGTGGTTCCCAAGTAGTTTGAGATAATTCTGCAGTGATACCATCCATGCTGGCTTTCCAACCAAGAGAAGTATGCTCCTGAGTGATATACAGTGTTGCCTACTCAATATGTCTTACTCCCTTTCCCATCCACTGTCCAGATTCCCCAAAAGCAAACAGTAACTCCACTCTAGAAAGTATATTGCTACCCTTCTCAGGTACTGACAGGCTTTTTGTGAGAAAGTGAACCAGAGGTCAAAAGATCCAGTTCTGTCCCAGAATAAGACCACACACCTACAACTATCTGATTTTTTGACAAACCTGACAAAAACAAGGAATGGGGAAAGGATTCCCTAATCAATAAATGGTGCTGGGATATCTGGTTAGCCACACACAGAAACTGGACCCCTTCCCTATACAATATACAAAATTAACTCAAGACAGATTAAAGACTTAAATGTAAAACCCAAAACTATAAAACCCTGGAAGACAACCTAGGCAATAAAGGACATAGACACAGGCAAAGATTTCATAATGAATACACTAAAGACAATTGCAACAAAAGCAAAAATTGACAAATGGGATTTAAACTGAAGAGATTCTGCACAGAAAAAAATAAAAATAAAAAAACTATCAACAGAGTATACAGACAAGTGACAGAATGGGGAAAAAAATTTGCAAACTATGCATGTGGCAAAGGTCTAATATCCAGCATCTGTAAGGAACTTAAATTTCCAAGAAAAAACCAAACAACTTCATTAAAAAGTGGGCAAAAGACATGAACAGACACTTTTCAAAAGAAGACACACATGTGGCTAACAATCAAATGAAAAAAAGTCCAACTGATCATTAGAGAAATGCAGATCAAAACCACAAGGAGATACCATCTCACACCTGTCAGAATGGCTGTTATTAAAAAAGTCAAAAAATATTAATAACAGATGCTGGTGAGGGTGTGGAGAAAAAGGAACACTTGAACACTGTTGGTGGGAGTGTCAATTAGTTCAACCATTGTGGAAGATGGTGTGGCAATTCCTCAAAAACCTAAAGACAGAAATTCCATTCAACCCAGCAATCCCATTACTGGGTATATACCCAAAGGAAAATAAATCATTCTATTATAAAGACACATGCACACGTATGTTTATTGCAGCATTATTCACAATAGCAAAGACATGGAGTCAACGTAAATGCCCAACAATGGCAGACTGGGTAAAGAAAATGTGGTATGTATATACCATGTAACACTATGCAGTCATAAAAAACAATGAAATCATGTCCTTTGCAGGGACATAGATGGAGCTGGGGCCATTATCCTTAGCAAACTAACACAGGAACAGAAAACCAAATACCACATGTTCTTACTTATAAGTGGGAACTAAATGATGAGAACACATGCACACATAGTGGGGAACAACACACACTGGGTCTCTTGGAGGGTGGAGAGTGGGAGGAGGGAGAGCATCAGGAAAAACAACTAATGGATACTAGGCTTAATACCTAGGTGATGAAATAGTCAGTACAACAAATCCCCATGACACAAATTTACCTATGTTATAAATCTGCACATGTACCCCTGAACTTAAAATAAAAGTTAAACAAAACAAAAAACCCCAAACATCTAGTTCTGCACCTTGGTCTGGCACTAAGTAGCAAGGTGATCAGGGATGGGAGACTAAGAATTATATTAATGAAAAGCAATATTTAAAATAAAAATAGTTGTGTTTGTGAAACGTGATGATGTTTTTAAAATATTGTTCAGAGATTTTTTTTTTTTTTTTTGAGACAGGCTGATCTCAAACTCCTGGCCTCAAGTGATCCTCCCACTTCAGCCTCCCAAACTGTTGGAATTACAAGCATGAGCCACGGTACCTGACCTAGGGATGTATTTTTTAAAATAAAGTCAAGCAACTGCCACATTTCCAGGTACATAGGCTATGAGCATCTTGAAGATGAGAACCTGGAAAGTAATATTGTCCCATTTATTAAACATTCTATGCCTGAAATACGCTAAGTATTTTTCTTTTTCTTTCCTTTTCTTTTTTTTTTTTTGAGATGGAGTCTCGCTTTGTCACCCAGGCTGGAGTGCAATGGCGTGATCTCGGCTCACTGCAACCTCTGACTCCTGGGTTCAAGCGATTCTCCTGGCTTAGCCTCATGAGTAGCTGGGATTACAGGCGCACACCACCACGCCTGGCTAATTTTTGTATTTTCAGTAGAGACGGGTTTCACCATGTTGGTCAGGCTGGTCTTGAACTCCTGACCTCATGATCCACCCGCCTCGGCCTCCCAAAGTGCTGAATTATTTTTCATTCAGATCTTTGCTCATATGCCACCTTGTCAAAGAGGGCTTTCCTAACTATCTTACTATCTTTTCTCAAATACTTTCCCTGCCATCCCTCTCCATCCCTAATCAGATTTATGCTTTATAGACTGTATCACCGCCCAACATTTTATTCTATTGTATTCCTGCTTATTGTCTATCTCCCTAACTGAAACTTAAGCTCCATGAAGACAGATATTTTGTATGTTTTGTTCTATGTTGTATCCCTAACACCTAGAATAGTACTTGGAACATTACAGATCCTCAATAAGGTATTTATACAAGGAAGTAATCAATGAATGATCTTGTAGAATTCTAACCACAATCCTATGAGCTAAGTCTGTTACTGTCTTCATTTGGTAATCAAGGAGACCAGGCTACAAAGAGATTATGTCACTTGCTCAAGGAGATAGTATGAAGGAGTAGAGCCTGTATTGAGATCCAGGTCTGACTTCACAGCTTCAGCCACGAGGCCATACAGCCTTTAATGAATACATCTTTGCTTCTCAGAGGTGGTATCTGTGCTCCCCCCAGGAAGGGGGCTCATTAAAGTGTAGATTATTGGGGTTTACCTGATATAGTGAAACAGAATGGGTGGAGGGAGAGTAAATGGTAAGGAAAGGGATGAGGTGAAAAGAAAAGAATCATCTGTCGCAGATATCAATTCCCAAATGGATGAGTCTGGCTCCTTGACTCCTGTCTAAACCCTCCCAGAGAGAAAGAGATGCAGAAGCAGCTGTTTTCACAGCAGACCCCATGAGATCTGGAATGCTTTGATGCCCAGGTAGGAAGATAAATGTCAGTTTGGCTCCTTTTGAGTTACTGGCTCTGAGACTACCAAGAGACACAGCTCTGGCTGATACCAGAATTATTATGAAGGACATAGAGGGACTCTCAGGTATCAGACTTCAACACAGAGGCTGGAGTGCAAAACAACAGGGCTGTGTGCAAATGCCTATAAAACATCACCTGGGACTCCCAGAAAGCCTTGGAAAGTGGGCAGAATTTGCCAGAATCTGAGTTTCCATGTTTAAGTGTGGGCAAGTGCTAGCTACTGACATTAGAATTATTATTGTGATTGTGATTTCATTAATAGCCACAAATATTATTTTTCCTCTTTCAAGGTCTCTGTTTTCTTTGTGTGGTTGGATCTGGGGCGGTTCTGCTCCCTTGGGCCAAGCTGGTCTACTGGGCTATCCCCCTCATGTGAGCCAGAAGGGCAAGGCCAAGGTGCCATATTAATCTTTTCTTCTCAGGGACTATCTATATTTCTCTGGTGGTTTTAAACAGAAAACACACACACAGATACACACACACGCCTTGAATTACACAGGAAGATTTAGAATCAACTCAGAAGTCCCACCTCCTGGTGTTCTCTCTCTTTGGACATGGATGAACTGCAGAGAGAGAAAGGAACCTTTTGTCCTTCCATTGGTCCAGGCCCAAGCATCTTGCTGTGCCTAAATTCCACAGTGTCACAGGATTTGAGTGAAGTTGCCCTTCATTTCTAGTAGCCAAGCTTTCTTGAGAGGCCGCTTCTGCGTATTGAGCTGTTAACCCGCCACTCCTTTATTTACATATCAGTTAGATGAAGTTCACCCACTCAGATTGTGAAACACCTTTCATTGTTTTTGGCGAGTCACTCTTCAGGTGCAGTTAAGAAGTCTTCATTCTGGGGGGTTCAAAAGTGTTTCATACCAATGTCAACCCCATTGTTATGGCCCTAAGTAAAAACTGTGACCTGAGAGATGAGAAAAAGTCCCAATAGGTGAGGTAAGTAATTAAACAAGTGACTGCATTTTATTGTGTAAATTACACTACATTTACTGTAAAGCTAAACTGCCAATAGCCCTTATAAAGTCTCAAAGGCAATGACTTAACCATGAATAGTGAGTTCCAAAGATGCAGAACAGAACACGTTTGTCCTTTAAGTGCTATTGGGAAAGACAAACTAAATTTGAAAAAGGCAGCTTTCCCAGTCTCCAGTCACTGAAGATTTGGCTTGGCTTCAGAGGTGGAATTCTGGTTTCCCCCAAAACCTCCCCAGTACTAAGTTATGCAAATCTTAGGTGTAGCAAGAGTTGGGCATGAAATCAATTGCAGTTGTGGACTGTTGGTAGGTTACGTGTGACTTGGTAGAATGTTCTTTCTCTTCTTCTGGGCCATTTTGCTCCTTATTTCCCTGGATAAGATAGGCATGTGATAATCACTCTCAGACCTATGTGTTTACAGAACTCCAGGGAGCACCATAACGATAGGATACAATTCAATGTTGCCCCCTAGAGTTGGACAATACACCAACCCTGATGCCTTTATAATGGGGCCATTCATTTGTCTGCCAAAAACAATGTCCATAGCCGGTTGGATATTCCATTCTAGCATGCTTTTCCTACCATGTGGTTCAGGTTAAGTGATTCTTTTAGCCTCAATTTTTTGTTTACCTTTACCTGTTCTTGATTCAGATTGGGAGCTTTCATCCAGTACCAAGGGTTATGATATGCAACATATGTCACAATGAAGACTGGTGGGGAGTGAAAGAAAGACTATTTTCTAAGCTTTTCTGAAGAGGCTGGAACATTTGATCTGAAAAAGGTGTGAGAACTGGCTTTGTGATAGAAAATAGTGTTTTGGATCCTAGATCTTGTATCTTGCATTGAGATGAAATAAGTGCATGGTGTTCCTGGCAGGTGATGGGAAAAGGCAATCTGTGCCCCCATATTCTCCAAGCTAAATAGGTTGGTTTCTTCTTTCAGCAGGCCTTTACTTACAAGAACAGCTGGTTTCTTTTGGAAGCATGCATCCAACTAATCCTCCACACAGATACTTGGCTTCAACAGGGAAAATAAGTTTGCCATATTCAGCATTAAACGTGATTGCACTTGCCTCCAGGCCTTTAAAGAAGCAGGGTTGCTTTATCCATTAGTTTCTATAGGCATAGTGCCTAGGCTGAGGCCCAAGAACATTTCAAGAGATGGTTAAAATACTTGAGATCTGGAGGAGAAAAATAAAGAAGAAATATTTTGATTCCATTGAACAATGTGATACCAAAATTTTTAAATGTGTAGTGACATAGCTGCAAATTATGACATAGGCTAATTTCATCAATTATTAAATTAAGTATTCATAAACATCTCATTATAGGTGCAAGCATTTGTGGATTAGTTTTTCTCACTTGAATCGTCTTACAGGTACCCAATGATTGCTAAGAAATCATAACCAATTTTGAATCAAAGGAATTACTAATACAAAAATAATTTGAAAACCAAATTAGAAAAAAACTACATTTTTTTGCCCCCAAATTATATTGGATGTGTGTACATCTGAATATGTTTCATAAGATATGGGAGGAGCTGCCTAGGACTTAGGGACCCTCAAGTGCTCTGGGTAAGGGTCATTTCCCTTCCCTGGGATACTCTCTGTAATTGTCTATACAGTTCATGTTCTTTCTCTGCTTTAAACTTTTAAAGGAAATTCCCTTTTCTTTATTCTAATCCACTGGGCTCCTTGACTATTTCTTTAGCAACCAAATGTAGAGAGACTTCACATTTACTTGTGTTATGGACAACTTACATTCGTATATTTTTATTTTGAGGCCTTTCTTGAATCTATTATATGTATTTATGCTATATTTCAACTAAAGTGAGATACTTGGATGGAAAATCATTTATTTATTTATTCATTCATTCAATGAAACTACCATGTGTTGGGTGCTTAGAATATGAAGTTGAGTAAAGCAAAATACTTGGCCTGTTCTTTCAAGACATTCACAATCTCGAAAAGAAGGTAGGCAGGAAAGAAGATAAGTTGCTGCACAATTGCCTCCTGGCTGTTGACTATCTGTTGCTCAGACTGCTTCTGGGCTCAACAAGTTTTTATTTATTTAATAAGCAGTTTCTGTGTGTCAGCACTATTCTCAATGCAGATGCTGTTTAACACTCTTATGAATTTATTTCTCGAGGCAGTCCTATGAGGCATTACCATTATCCCCATTTTGCAGATGAGGACAATTGAGACACAGAGAAGTTGAGTAATTTGCTTAGGGTCCTTTACACAACAAATAAGTAGCAGAGGCGAAATTTGAACCCAACCAGCCTGGCCCCAGAGCCCATACTGCTGGTTTGTAGGTTATGAACTAAACCATATGATCAGTACTAGTGGGGTTCAGAAAATGTTTCATAACTAATTAGGCACAGTTCAGATGAAATAGGCAGGGAAGTCTCCACTAAGGAAGTGATATTTCAATTGCTTTGTATGCATAGAAATTTGTCCAACAGATACATTTGGAGTACAGGATTAAGGAAAGGCATTCCAAGTAGAAAGAAAAGCCTATGGTATAGTCTATATAGATAAAACAAATATGTACCAATATTTGTTTTGAGAAATGCAGATAGTGTATATGGCTGGAACTTACTTTGCTTAGAGGGGATTGATAGAGATGGGACATGAAAGGAAACCAAGGAAAATCTAATCTTGTTGATCATTGTAAGGAGTTTGGCTTTTGGTCAGTTTTGATTTGGGTCTGTTAAATGTTGGTTGCCTCCCCTCCACTTCTACCCCTTCAATGAAAGAAAATATTGATCACTTTAACTATGCAGAAAAACGATTTTAATATGAATGGAAGAAAATGCCACAAAGTCACAAGTCAACCAACAAACTAGAATAAAATATTTGTACTGCACAGCACAGTCCGTTTTTCTTAATGTACTAAGTGTGAATACAAATCATTACAAGATTAAAGAAAAAGACCAACAAATCAAGAGACAAGCACCGAAACAGAATTTTTTTTTTTAAAAAAGGCATTTAAACATTAGTAAAGGTGCTTTGCCTACTTACAGTAAGAGAAATGCAAATGAAAACAAGAATAAGATATCATTGTCACTGTTGGTTCAGCAAAGACTGAAAATTTGGTAACACCCTGGCCTGGCCAGAGTTTGGGGAAACAGCCACTCGTATTGCTGGTAGGATGGTGACCTGGCACAACCTCTATGAGGTTTGTAATTGAGCAGTATCTACCAAAATCACACATGTACATATTTTTCAACCTGACAGTTATACTCCTGGGAATTTATTCTGCAGGTAGATTCACACATGGGTATGATATACTTACAATGATATGTATGTTATAACATTATTTGTAATAGCAAAACATTGAGGAACAAACCTAAACTAATAAAATTAAATAATTGATTAGGTCTCTTACGTGCATCCATATCATAAAATTCTTTGCTGTCTTTTTTTAAAGAGAAAGAGGTGGGGTCTCACTTTGTCACTCCAGCTGGTCTCGAACCCCTGGCTTCAAGCAATCCTCCTGCCTCAGCCTCCCAAAGTGCTGGGATTACCTATGTAAGCCATCGTGCCCAGTCACTTTGGTGTCTTTAAAGAGCAAGTCTGTCTGATATGTATCAATGTGGCAGAATCTTCAACACCTGATTTAAAAAAGTAGAGCACAGAATGATGGGTTAGGTTTGTTACCATTTGTATGTGAGTGTGCATTTAAGGAAATATATACATATAGGCTTGAAAGTGCATTAAAGACTTCTGGAAGAAGTGTAGGAAATTGGTACATTGGTCGCCTCTGGGAAAGGAAACATTGCAGTTAAGAAGAGAGGGATGGTGCACTTCTACTTCTTATTTATATGTTTTAAAATGTTGGTGACTGCACCCTCTTGCATTGTTCTGCATTTGGCAGGAAGGTCAGTTGATATATGTTTCATGGATTTAACTTTCCATAACACTCCAAACTAGGATTCTGGGAAGAGGGAGGAGAGTGAAGAACTTGACCATGATACGCTGGAGCTGCAGGTCAAAGATGGCTCAGGAGGTTACTGCTTCTTCCCACCTGCTGGTGTGGAGCCAAGGCACCAGCCTCCCTGCAGGACAGGCAGGTGGAAGAGAACATGATTCTAGGGAAAGATGTGCATTGGAGCTCCTTGGAAGACTTATGTTTACACGCCTTTCCCAATGCTGCCTTTTTGTTTAATTAAACCCAGAGATAAATGTTGTGAAACTCCTGTCTGGCCTCAGTTTGCTTACAACCCTGAGTATGTGTCCCCTGACACATTCCAACATGTAAGTAATCTTCGCTGACCCTAACTGGAGCAAAGCTTTTGCTGAAAGGAATGAATTATGTACCTATTTTTAGTGAAGTATCTGGTATCTGTCTGCTTTGGTTTAATATGCTTATGTAACCTCATTGAAGGGCTGATTTCCTCAGTTAATAAGGATGCAAAAGACCAGAGTGCCCACTTAAGAGAGACTATGTTTAGACCTCTCAAGGAATAATTAATAAAGGGAATCAAGGGTCAAAGATTATTTCAACTGACAAGTCTAGGCCCTTCTCATTAGTAAAAACTGCCCGGTTGCCTTGCAGTATTTTCTTTGCCAGGAGACAACACCTATCCTAAATGTTTAAGTGACTTCTTGTTGGGCTGGTTTCGGAGGATTAAGCTCAGTGTAATTTCATCCTTCCCAGGTGTGAGACACTTGCGTGTGCAGTAATATGATTCTGTACTGTCAGGGAAAAGAGTGTGTCTTTGTCAGCAGTGTTTGGCAGTCAAACCCCTGAATCATGACCTCACTTTCAGGTAATCACTCTTTGCAGGCTTAAAACCCCTGGCGTTACCACTTGCTCTTATGCTGAGAGACTTAAAGGTTTGGCTGCTGGCACGTGGTCCTGCTGGTCAGCAGAATGGAGATGATCTGTGCTGGCAGCCCAACTGGACTTCAGAAAGCATTCCCTCCCCAGCTGTTTGGATTCAGTTTCTAAGTGCTGAGCAATACCATCTCTATGTTCAAGAAGGGCAAAAACCAAAATGAGTAGTAATTATTTGGATTTGCTTTAGCCTGTAGTTAGATCAATTCTTCTTCTGATGCTTTGGGTAATGTCCTCAAAATGATTTCCTACTGAATGTTTACAATTTCAACATGTAATACATACTCTGGATAAAGCAGTAGCTCACAAATCATCTGATCAACAAGGTGAATCCTATCTCTGTCTTGGTCCACATGGAGACTAGCACATGTGATTGACAGGCAGATAAGGGCCGTATTGTCATTTGGTTGCACCTGTCCATATGGCGAGGGATCGGAAATGAGAAATGGCTGTATTCTAAGCTGGGGATTATAGAGCTGTGTTACTCTAAGTCTTACTGTCTTACAGTAGCAAGGAGCAAGAAGAGTCTTGAAAGAACGGAGCCTTAAATATCATAGGTCAAGCCCTATAGTTTCACAGATGAGGAACTATTGCCTCAGAGACAGAAAGCAACTTACACAAAATCACAGAGAAAATGCGAGTGGCCTTGCTGGGGTTAGAGTCAAAGTTTCCTGACACCCATCTAGTGGTCTTTCTGCTACACCTTTTTGTTTCCACAGAGTTTTACTGACCCCTGTATTAAAGAAAAAAAAAAGATAAAGGAAAAAAAGCCTGTTTTGGCATGGTCCCTTGTTCTATGGTTTAAGGTCAGTCTTGTTCTTCAGCATCAGCACTTTAAGGTTTTTTTTTTTTTTTTTTTTATCAGAAGTCTCTATATGGTTAGCCTGAACCAGATGAAATTGCTGCTTTTATGAGGCAAAAAGTTAAATATAGTAAATTTCAGATAGTTCTACCTGAGAGTTTTTCATTTAGAAAGTGGCAGTTAATGCCGGGCGCGGTGGTTCACGCCCGTAATCCCAGCACTTTGGGAGGCTGAGGCGGGTGGATCACGAGCTCAGGAGATCAAGACCATCCTGGCTAACACGGTGAAATCCCGTCTCTACTAAAAATACAAAAAATTAGTCGGGCACGTGGTGGCGGGCGCCTGTAGTCCCAGCTACTCGGGAGGCTGAGGCAGGAGAATGGCGTGAACCCGGGAGGCGGAGCTTGCGGTGAGCCGAGATGGCGCCACTGCACTACAGCCTGGGCGACAGAGTGAGACTCCATCTCAAAAATAAAAATAATAATAATAATAATAATAATAATGATAATAAATAAAAGGAAGTGGCAGTTAACATAGTTGTCCTTGAATTTAGTAAATTAGCAAATCATGTTCTCTTATTGGATTACTTATTAACCAAACCCTGTCCCCTAAACCTATATGGATACTTTCTACTTTTCCCTTTCTATCCAGAGGGAAACATAAAGCAATGTAAGAGGAATAGAGGAGGCTGACCATAGCTAAGACTTTTGTAAGGCTGCCAAATATAAGGTATTGCCAATGTCTCCTGTGTTCTTGGCCATTAAACTTTAAGATATCCCTTCCTTAAGTCCACTATTTATACCACCAAAACCAGGTCCAACTTCTTGATAGTACATTCTCATAGCACCTCATAGTTCTCTCTTGTAGCACTTCTACTTTTTCACTTACTTCTAAGGTTATTTTACTAACTTCTTCCAGATCTATGAGGGCAGGAACCTGACTGGTTTGCTTATGCTGCACTTGGAGCACTTAGCACAGAGTCCAGCATACTCAGCAAGTATGTGCTGAACGAATGAACAAAAGTCAAATGGTCTGATTTATTTCTGTCCACCCCACTTGGTGAACCTTATGTCAGAACATTTTTGTTTATTTATTTATTTGTTTGTTTGTTTATAGACAGAGTCTTGCTCTGTCACCCAAGTTGGAGTGCAATGGTACAATCATAGCTCACTGTGACCTTGAACTCCTGGGTTCCAGTGATCCTCCTGCCTTAGCCTTCAAAGTAGCTAGGACTACAGACACACACCATCATGCCTGGCCCAGAATATTTTGTTTAAATTTAAATCCAATAATGGAAATCTGTGAGAAAACCCAATCATGTCACTTGGAGAGGCTTACCTGTCACAGGCCAGCCAGTGACCTACACCAGGTGCCAATGAACTCAGGAGGCAGGGCTCCCCTTGAAATTTCTTTGTATGTCAATGAGACTAATATGTAGGGTAACTTAGAATTTGGATCTTAAGCTTTCAGGGACTTTAAAATCCATCAGCAAGATATCCTCATAAACACTTGGCCATCATGCTTTCCGACTATTGGGAAGAGCATTCTGGAAGTCCCCATAACCCCCCTGGCTGGTGCATATGAACACACAATGGGCCAAAGGAAAGTCCAGCTACGTGGACATCAGCTGGTAGAGCCACTTCAGCAAACAGAGGCAGGAGTTGGAAGTGAGAGGGGCAGAAATGGAAAGTCTGGTCTCCACCAGTTCATGAGGGTCAGAGAAGTTTGTGTATATTGGGTCAGAGTTAAAAACAACTGGGGTGTAATAGAAGGTGCTCTATAACAGATCTGGGCTGTGGGGAGGTCCTTAGATTTTTGAGCCAAACCAGAGCCTTCGCCCCTTGTCACTGACTGATCCCTTTTTGAAGAAAATTACCTGACCATAAGACTAATCCATAAACTGTCAGTGATCTAGGAAGGCCAAATCCACACAGACTAACCTAGATGCTGCCCTACCTGCATTCCAGAGTGGGGCCTGATATCATACCTGATGTTCTTGGAGAGAATGAGACTTCCAGTGATTTCTTGGTTTGCCTATGCCCAGGCACAGAGAGAGTGATCTTTTCCCAGAATAAGTACAGTGTGACCTGGTGCCTTAACTGCTCTTAACCACCTTACACTTTTCTAGTCAAGATCATTATCTGCAGGCTGGGCATGCTAGAAAGCGGAGTCTTCCCTACTGACATCTCAGCAGGATTTATGATCCTCTCTGCTTATGGAACATGAGAAAGCCAGGCCTTGGGGTACAGCTGAGACAGAATGCTTGCTTGAGAAACCAGCTCATCAAACAGGACTTACTTGAAATAATTGATCTAGGCTTCAGTTGAAATTGATAGTGGCGTAGACAGAATTTCCCGTGTCTGTCTTTTCATTTCCAAACTTCTTCAAGGAGTAGTCTATGTGGCTCCTCAAGGTCTTCTCCTTAACCCCCTAACATCTGGCTTTCATTTTTCAGTTGTCTTCCCCAGGCCGGGCAATCTATGCTGTTGGATCTAGGTTGGTTGGAACTTTCTAAGATTGCTACTGTCCTTGTCTTGAAAGTCCAATTAAAGGCAAGAGGAAATATTTTGCAGACTTCTGAGTTGGGTTGAATCTGATGCTTGATTTATTTGAATGTTACACTGATTATGGGAGAGACAGATTCCAAATTAGACTTCTGAGTTGGGTTGAATCTGATGCTTGATTTATTTGAATGTTACACTGACTGTGGGAGAAACAGATTCCAACTTAAGACTTCTGAGTTGGGTTGAATCTGATGCTTGATTTATCTGACTGCTACACTGTGGGACAGACAGAGTCCAGCTCAGCCCCACATTCTGAATTGTGAGAACCAAGATATATACTTCGTTTAAATTTCCAACTGTGTGACGGACCGCATTCTCTAAATTAATAGGTAGAGGCATCTGAACACCAAATTGTAGCCCTAATTTGTTATAACTAAAGTCCCCTTTGATTGTGCCCTTTCTACATCTTATCAGAGGGACACAGAGTGGAAGACTGTTAGTCTGAGATTAACAAACACTGGAAGGTTATATGAGAAAGCGCGTGTTGGATTTTAAAGTTAAAGAACTTTAGGCAAATTTCTTAGAGTACACCAATTCTCCTTTTTGCCAAATTCAAGAGTGAAACAGAAAACAAAATTTAAAAAACAAACTACTGTTTATTAGGCAGTATACTTGACACTTTGCATATATTATTTTATTTAAACAACCCTTAAAGGAGGCATTTTTGTCCCCACTAAAGGAGATTTGACCAAGGTCACATTACCAATAAATGGTGGAGGTAGGACTCAAAGTTAGGCTTTTCTGAAACTAGAGTCCATGTACTTAACACTACTATACTGCACTTTTTCCCGTCAGTCTTATTCTTGCTTTTTAGCAGCAGATGATATTTTACATTCTCTCTTCTTTTTGAAACTCTCACAAGTTAAACTAAATGTTATGCTCCTCCAGTTTTCCACATACTTCCTCTTTCTCCATTTCCTTTGTTAGTTCCTCTTCTCTCTCTTGCATTCCAGAATGTGCCCTAAAGCTTAGTGTTTCTTCACACCTTTGGAAAGATGACCTGTACCCAGGGCTTCAATTTACACTTCCACATCCCACCAGACTCTGAATTTCAGGACAATGGAGACCCGATCTATCTTATTCACTGGCAAATTCTTAGCATCTTGCAGAGTGCCTGATACATAGTAGATGTTTAATAGATGGTCAAATGAATGGATGCATGAACTACAGATCTGCTGATAATTCTCAGATACTCTCCTGAAGTCCAGATACATATTCCTAGGTAACTACTAGATCTTTCCTCCTTAGTATCTTGCTATTGCTGTGAAATGGTAGTAAAAATTTGGTGAAGCCATTGAGGGTTTCAGCAATTTACTGGGGCTACCACACCAGCTGGACTCTCTCATGTTTCCCCAATGGAGGTGGCTTTATTACCAAGCTGGGATATAGACCTTCTACAGAGGAAAATGGCAGCCTGACTCCTTCCAATGATATGGGTTTGAGCTTCTTTGAGAGGGTCCCAGTGCAGCCTCTGGTTGGAGTCCTTGCTAAGTAGACATGGATAAAAGATGGTTGGATCTGAAGCAACTAGTAGCTCATCTGGGGGTGACAATACCACCACATTCATTTGGGTCAATGCATGCTAGTGTTAGCTGCCCAGGGAAGAGTTAATTCCAGGTGAAGTGTAGGCATGGAAGAAGAATGAGCACATAGTTGTGAAGAGTCACAATCCTAGCAGGGCCTCCAGATCTGTCTCCTGGCTGCCTCCTCCTGCTTTGAGTGCTCAGATATTTCCATGAAACTTGGCTGTAAATGCCAAAGTTGGTGGTTGTCCGTAATTACCAGGGGTGTGGTTCACTGAGCATTTGCTTAGTCTGAAATAATCAAATGACTTCTTGTGGGAAGAATGAACAGAGAGAGCCTTAGAGGCTGGATGACCTCTACCTGCTGAGTCACCCTGCCCACCTAATTGCTTCATACTATTTCTGTACTATGTGCTTCCTGGTGGGCATTAACATGTGATCAAAGATCTTCGTACTTCACGCTTGCTATAATATCTATTCTCACACTTTCTACCCTAAGACAATTTGATTCCAATTTCCCAATCTTTCTTCTTCTAGGCCCCTGATCAGCCAGCCAGGCCATTTGCCACTGCCAATGAATCTATAACTTTGGGCCATTTCTTTCGTCCATACAAAGTGGGTGACCAGATTCATCTCTTGAACTCTTTCCATTGGAAGAATTTTTCCCTGACCACTATCTTTCAAGGCCACCCCTGAGGGGATGTGTAGAGCAGCTGCTGACCATTTTTGGCTTGCACTACATACTGCTTGCATTACCTCCTGAGCTCCACCTCCTGTCAGATCAGCAGCGGCATTAGGTTCTCATAGGAGTGTGAACCCTATTGTGAACTGTGCATGCAAGGGATCTAGGTTGCATGTTCCTTATGAGAATCTAATGCCTGATGATGTGTCACTGTCTCCCATCACCCCCAGATGGGACCATCTAGTTGCATCTAGTAGCTCAGGGCTCCTGCCAATTCTACATTATGGTGAGTCGTACCATTATTTTATTATATATTGCAATGGAATAATAATGGAAATAAAGTGCACAATAAATGTAATACACTTGCATCATCCTGAAACCATCCCCCTCACCCCATCTGTGGGAAAATTGGCTTCCATGAAACTGGCCCATGGTGCCAAAAAGATTGGGGACCACTGGGTTTGACAAAACCCAGTTCATGATGATGCGTGTTCTGGATGCAGGGTCACTTGGTGCATTAGTTAGGGTTCTCCAGAGAAACAGACCCATAGATGGACACACACACACACACAGACAGAGTGGGGAAATAGAGAGATTTATTGTAAGGAATTGGCTCATGTGACTGTGTGAGCAGGCACCACCAGAATTTACAGAGCAGGCCGGCAGGCTCTCAGAAACACACGGAAAAGCTGATGTTGCAATCTTGTGCAATCTTAAATCCAAAGACAGTGTGAATGCAGAATTTCTTCCTCCTCAGGGGACCTCCAACTTTTCCCTTAAGGTCTTCAACTGATTGGATGAGGCCCACCCATATTATGGGGGTAATCTGCTTTACTCAAAGTCTACTGATTTAAGTGTCCATCATATCTAAAAAATAGCTTCAAAGCAACATCTAGACTGATGTTTGCCCAAATATCTGGACATTGTCGCCGGGCCAAGTTGGCATATAAAATTAACCATCACCCTTGGTATCTCAGAGGCAAGTTCCATATTTATTACGGCCCAGTAGCACACTAGAGTTTTTCAAAAGGCAAATAATTCTTCCTTGCAGATGGCATGGCTTTGTTCCAGAAATCTGGGATCTGCATAACGATTGTCCCACTGGGACTCACCATAAACTAACATGACATATTTTCCCACCACCGGTACTCAAACATCATACGGTCTTCTGGGTCACTGGCTCAAATGTTCAGGAGTTACTGTAGAACCCTTTTCTGCTCTGGGTTCCCTCAATGATGGTAATTTTCAAGACACCCAGCACATGGACCGGAGCCGCATTCCCAAGTGTGAAATGTGCTGACTTCAGAACCTAAAGAGGTCTACAAGGAATTGTGCTTCCTTTTTCCTAATGGGGAGCGCAAGATGTAATATCTGTCTTTCACTTTGGGTGGGATATGCTAGCATGCCCATCATCATTGGATCTTTAAAATTTTCGCTGATGTTGAGCTTCTGAATCTTCCTAGGGCTTACCTCCCACCTCTGGAGCAGATGCTAGCTGGTTCTTGATCATTCAGCCATTTAGCGCCATGTCATCAATGTAGTGGATCAATATGAGGTCCAGCGAGATACTCAGAAAGCCCAAATTTCCTCAGACTATATTACAAGAGTGAGAACTAACACAGCCCTGGAGAAAACTATAGCTCTGTTGCCTATTTCACATGAAACTAAACTGTTTCTGGTCTTTTCTTTTTTAAGAGACAGGATCTAGCTCTATAGCCCAGGCTGGAGTTCAGTGGTACAATCATAGCTCACTGTGGCTTCTAACTCCTGGGCTCACGTGATACTCCTGCCTCAGCCTCCTGAGCAGTGGGGACTGTAAGTGTGAGCCACTACACCTGGCTTCTGATCTTTTTTTCTGATAGAAATGGCTGGCTCCATGCTGTGTACCCAAAGCCATGTTCACCTGCTCTAGCACAGGTGCCACATCTGGCACAGCAGCTACAGCTGTGTTTGTGTAGTCTACTCTCATGCTCCAGGAGATCCATCTAATTTCTGGAGGGGTCCAGACTGGTGAATTAAGTGGAGATAAAATGAGGATCTCTACTCTGGCCTCCTTTAGATGCTTAAGGGTAGCATTAATTTCTGTCATCCCTCCCAGGATATGAATTTGTTTTGTATTTAGTAGCTTGGCTGGGGGCAAGGTGGGAGTAGATGGAAATTTCAAAGGCTGCTACTTGGCCTTCTCTGCTATGATAGGCTGCTTTTACCTGACAGGCCAAGGATTCAATGTGGGAGCTGCACCATCTATCAACTATGTCTATTCCAATTATATATTTGGAAATGATCAGTAGGTAGGCCCACTGTGAGCTAGACCTCAGTCAATAGTCCACTTGTAAACTGGTCTCATATGATTATCTTGTAATAGGGAGGATCAAGATGACATTTCAGGTCTCCAGCTATCAATATCACCTCATATTCTACGTCCAACAGTAATCACATGCTTGGGTATTCCCTCTGCCCCCAATGTAGAGTTATACATAGGCCCCTTGGGGAGAGGACTGAATCAATATCTCTTGCGTTGCCATGGTGTTGCAAAGTCATTTTATCTGGAGACTATCCTCTCTTTTCATCAGTGGGTTCTGGGTCCCTATAACAATTGAGGTCACAAAACTGGATAAGAGATTGTGTTTTTATTGGGGTGACTGCACTCAGCCTCCTGATCATCTAGTCTTGATTTCTTCTCAAGGTACAAGTTGAGTGCCAGGCCTCTGAATATTTGTAAGGTTTATTTTGGGGTGCCTTTGTTGACTGTCTCTCTGTTTTGGTCCTGTGGATGCTGGGGTTGTTTTTTTTTTTTTTTTGAGACAGAATCTCACTCTGTCACCCAGGCTGGAGTGTAGTGGCACTATCTTTGCTCACTGCAACCACTGCCTCCTAGGTTCAAGCAATTCTTCTGCCTCAGCCTCCTGAGTAGCTGGAACTACAGGCATGCACCACCATGCTTGGCTAATTTTTGTATTTTTAGTAGAGACAGGGGTTTTACCATGTTTGCCAGGCTGGTCTCGAACTCCTGACCTCTCCCAAAGTGCTGGGATTACAGGCATGAGCCACCGTGCCCAACCTGAAGCTGTGTTGTTTTAATCATCTATATAATTCTGCAGATGAGGCCCCCTTGGCTGTGATTTTGATCTTACCACTCATTATGAAATAATTGTATCACCTGGTTTTTGATGGTGAAAAGCTGCTGACAGGTGTCTATTGATTTCTATTGTTTTGGGGTCTTATCACCATTCGTACCTGTAAGCTGAATGATGTAATGATCTCTCCTACTTTCACCTGGGATACTTAGTAATGCTGGGATCCCTTTCACCAATGCTTTCTGTAGCCTTGATAAATAGCATGTCCAGGCCTTCCCATGAACTGTAATAATCTAGTGTGCTATCTGGCCTTACACTGTACATCCACTCCAGCCTGCCCACTTCCCTACATCTTTTAATCTATTCTTCCACCATGTGCTATGGAAATTCTTATATCTTAGTTTCACTCAGCATGGGTCCTTGCTTTTGCCACACTTCTAGGAGCCATCTATGTAGCAGGTTGGGCCCACCTGCTGGGATCCTAGCCTAAGTGTTAAATCTTGTATTTTAGAAAAATAAATAAACTCTTTCATAACCAGCCTTATGTCCCAGCTTTCTTGATTGAGCACTCTTGGGGTTCATTTCCATGGACCTCCCGTGGTGCCTGCTGGTACCTGCTAGTTAGGCATTGCAGCTTCTTTGGGGACTCTTTCCTTTCTTGTCAGACCTAGCGCAACCCTGGCTGGGTTATTCTGTGACTTAACCCTCGTTATGCACCTAGTGGCCAGAAGGGAAAGTGAAAACAGATGCTGGGGACATTACATGTTGCCCTGAGCTGGAGAGGCAAGGAAGGGGTGCTAGCTCTTAACAGGGAGGGAATTCACTTTTGCAGGTTTGGGAAGTGCAAGAATCTGAGCATTAAAGATTTTCAGAGCCATCAATGCTGGTTTCCCCATCCCTTGTGTCAGAGTCCTATTTTTTCCCAAAAAGGGCCTTGGCCTTGTCATGGTAGACCTGCCTTAGTTGGGAGTATAACATTCTGAATCTCAGGTATTCTGATGATTAAAACCTGAGCCTGTTCTTCAGCTTTCTCTGCTTTCCTACTGCAGAAGAATCTCTTGGCTATCAAGGAAGCCCTCTTGCTTCCACTCTTCACTTTTAATTGCCCATTAATCACTCTCAGCCTTTCATTATCTTTAACAAAGCAACAATCACAGTAATCATCCACTCCCACTGTCATTGTTGTGACTATTTCCTCCATAATTTTCAAATGCCTGATATATGGTGTGTATTGGTGTTTTCTCTTCCTTAGTGTGCTATCCCACTTCACCACTGGTGAAAGTTTCAATAATTGGACCATCACCTTATGCCAGGGGCTATCTACCCCACCCACCTCTAGATGGGGTCCTCAGTGTCAACTTGGTGGTAAGATATTCAGCTCCAAAGCTATCTTATCACCTACTTTCTTAGACCACTCTTGCTACTGACTGTCACAGGCTGAGGTTCCCCAGGAAGCAGCCTCTGAGAGAAAGTTTAGTATGCAGGATGTCACTATTAGGTGATGTCCTTGGTATCAACGCAGGTGGATAGGATGACTCCTTTGTCCCAGTTTTCCTGAAACAGCCTTAGTTTTAGCGCTGAAAATACAGCATCCTGGAAACCCCCTCAGTCCTAGGAAAACCGGGGCTGTTGGTGGCCCTGCCTGTGAAAGGGAGGAAGCAGAAGCAGGATCGAATTGAGGAGCAGTCAAGCTGCGATACAGGCCTGAGAGCCTCAGCTGCCCCAGGGAGAGCTCTGGAACTAAATTTGGCACATCAGACATGTCCAGCATCAGGCTGAAATGGCTGAGTCCTCATATTCCTGCTCCCTCAGTCACTGGATATGGGCTTCCCTGGGAAGGGCATGGCCTTGGGTAAGCAAATCTGCAGCTGAGATCTCTGAATGGGGCTGACGGCACTCCTAAGAGTTGAAGCAATAAGTCCTCCCATGAAAAGGGATCTGGGTGGTGAATCCTTGTGTCCAAGGCAGATATGTGTAGATATATTTTTATATTTGCATAGACCATCTGTGAAGGGATGTGCAAGAAATTGATACTGTGGTTGCCTCCAAAGAGAGGAAGTGGGTGACCAGAACAGGGTGGGAGGAAAAATTACTGTAAGGATATATTTTAGATTTTGAATATGTACAGTTTGAATTTTTAAAATCGTGTTAAATATACATGTTTATTACACACATGAATTTAGGCTGAAAAATCAATAAAAAAAGTGGAAATAAGAGTTTTCACAGATCTAAATAATTTCTCTACCATATCTCTTGTTAACCAAAGGAGTAAAAATATTTAAATTCTCCTACCAAATTTATGCTCTTATTTTTAAATCTAACCCCAAATAGCCAACCTGTTAGCATCGATACAGGAGCTAGAAAGAAATTAGGCAGATAATGAGGGCACAAGACTCCTCAGCAAGATTCCCCTTTTAACAAAAAGGAGCCCCCAAATAATTTCTAACAAAAATAAG
The DNA here is from genome assembly GCF_000001405.40 of Homo sapiens. NCBI lineage: Eukaryota > Metazoa > Chordata > Mammalia > Primates > Hominidae > Homo > Homo sapiens. The sequence goes on from NC_000011.10 coordinate 34,871,408, forward strand.
CCTGAAAAATTGAACTGCAGACATTGATAAGCAAGCTGGAAACTTGCACAGTGAATGCCAGCAGTTCTGCCAATAGAAAAGGGCTACCCAGGCCCAGGCATGTTCAGCATGGAGGCTCCATCTTCCCTTTTCTTTGTGGCCACATGTGCAGTAAAGGAACAGGCAACATGGCGCCGGCCAGGTAGAGAATCTATCTGCATAATAAAATATTAGTGTGGAGGTGGGGGGCAGCCAGATTTTCATGTGCTATGCAAATGGCACACCTGGTCTGACCAATCTTTCATGCCCCATGTAAATCAAACACCGCCTACTCAATATAGGTCATCTATAAAACCTCCTGCACTTCACCACAGAAGTGACAACCCACTTCTCTTTCTTTCACCTACTAAACTTCCGCTCTGAACCTCACTCTTTGTGTGTCCATGTCCTAGTTTTCCATGACCATGAGACAATGAATCTCGGATATTTACCCCAGACAATGACACTGTTCAGCATGAGATAAATAGTAATAGTAATAAACTGGTTTGTTAAGGAATTGCCACTTTATTTGGCACAAAATCTGAATAGTTTATCTACCAACACATGGCTTTAATTTTGTTTTAGCTTTAATCTCACCCTTCAACTTTAATATCTGTATTTCTATTTCTTCCTTTCTTTCCCTTTTCTCCCACATCTTATTATGTAAATTTTAATATTATCTTATCCTATGTTGTGAAATATATATTTTATCTTTGTCTCAGGTTTCCTGGTATACAACTCCTAAAAATCCTTGGACTCTTCAAAGTGATGTGTCTTTTTGTATGATAATGATTGACGGCTGGCAGTCTCCAGGTAGCTTCAGGATGGGGGCTGGTCACCAGAAAGACCAAGGCAGGATTAGAGGGTTGAAACTTTCAGCCTCACTTCCTAACCTCCAGGGAGGGAAAAAGGGGCTGAAGGTTGAGTTGATTACCAGTGGCCAACAATTTAATCAATCACGCCTACATAATAAAGCACCCATAAAAGCCCAAAAGGACAGAGTTTGGATAAACTTCCAGATACCTGAACAAGTATAGGCTTCTAGAGGATGGCATGCCTGGAGAGGATATGAAAGCTCTGCACGTGATTCCCCTGTGCCTTGCCCTATGCATGTCTTCATCTGTGCTCTTTGTAATATCCTTTATAGTAAACGGGTAAACATGTTTCCCTGAGTTCTGTGAGCCACTGCAGCAGGCTAATTAAACCCAAGGAGGGAATGGTGGATATCCCAATTTATCAGCAGGTCAGTCAGAAGCATAGGTCACAATCTGGGGCTTGCAATAGGCATTGGAAGTGGAGGGCAGCCTTCTGGGACTCAACCTTCAACCTGTGGAATCTGATGCTGTTTCCAGTTAGATATTGTTGAAATTGGATCGGAGGACACCCAGCAGATGGTGTCTGCTGCAGAATTGGTTGCTGGTGGGGAAAAATCCCCGACATCCATCTTGGTAACCAGAGGTCACAGAAGTTTTCTGTGTTGTTGAGTGAGAGAATGAAAACACAGTTTGATTTTCCTCTCTGTATCTTCAGAGATTCTCAATCCTTTTCAGAACGAGTATGGGTGTATATAAATGTAATATAAATGCTTTAACACAGGGGTTCCCAACCTCCAGGCCGTGGACCTGTACTGGTCTGTGGCCTGTTAGGAACCGGGCCACACAGCAGGAGGTGAGCAGCAGGCAAGCGAGCATTACCCGCTGAGCTCCGCCTCATGCCAGATCACTGGTGGCATTAGATTCTCATAGGAGTGGGAACCCTATTGTGAACTGCACATGTGAGGGATCTAGGTTGTGCACTCATTATGGGAATCTAATGCTTGATGATCTGAGGTGGAACGGTTTCATACTGAAACCACTCCCCCTGCCCCCATCTGTGGAAAAATTGTCTTCTACAAAACTGGTCCTGGTGACGAGAAGGTTGGGGACTGCTGCTCTAACGCCATATAAGTGTTCCTGAAAAATCTATGCTGTACCAAAAATAATAAGGCAAATGGAGTAGACAAGGTTCAGGAAGACACTAAAAACTTATGAACTATGTAACCAGAATACCAATAAAAATATTACTAATAAAAATGTTACCACAGTTAGCTTTCTTCTAGTTTTCATGGCTGTTAATCATTTGCTTCCTTATAATTTCCTAGACTTGTGCTTCCTCCTTTAAGATGTAAGTATTAGAAGGCATTTGCTTTTAAAAAATTCAATTTTCATCAAATTTTAAAATCGTATCCAGTCTGTAGGCTTCCTAATCCATTGTTTTATATAACTAGAAATATCTTCTTAGTGTCTTTATCCATGCCTGTTCCAGATAGCTTAACTGAATGAAAATTACTGAAGGTCCCTAAAGCTACTAAATGAGGCTTTTTTTCCCAATAAAGAATAAACTTCTGCAGATTTTCAGCTTTTTTTCCAAAATGTTTTCATATATCTTTAAAGCTTTCTCATTAATTATAAGAAATCTTGCCCTAATTGCTTTAAAACAATGTGCTGAGAAAAATTGTGTATGAATCCATGCAATTTCCATATTATACCAATGTACCAATATCATTCCTTTATTTACCAATTTTGTATGAAGTAATATACATAAAAGACTTGAGTCTCATCAAGATTAATGCGAGTTAGCCTTTTATTTCATGCAATTGCATAGCATTTGGTTTGATATACTATTAGACATTGTGTAAGACTCTATTATGAAATAAATCATCTCAAAATAACTTTTAAAAAAGCAAATCTGTTCATCTCTTCTGACTCAAAAGGCTGAAGGTGAATCCAAAGGTACTGCTAAATCCAAGTACTAAAATGCTGTAGTAGAAATATTTCTATATCTTGGCTCTGCTTTTTATACTTTTCTTTGTGTGTTGGTTTCATTCTCTTCAAACACAGACAGGCTTTCTTTATCTGGCAGTGGAGTTGGGTCCTGGCACCTCTCCTTGAGTTAGGAACCTAAGACTTTGAACCCCTCTGTAGGCAGGGAAATGGTGTGCTATGACTGGCCACGACTGGCCAGGTCCGGGTCACGTGGTTATGGCTGCAGCAAGAGGGCAGGCAGAATACTGTGACTGACATCATCCCAGAGCCTCAAGGGATGTGGGTGAGTGGAGGTGGCTCCTATGAGTGAGGGAAACTGGGTAGACACCAACAGCAGCTTACCTCTACCTACGTACCAACACTTGAGCACTGAACAAGTACTGAGTACGAAAGAAGATTTGCTGAAATTTGGAGTTACAAGACCCTTAGAAAATGCCAATCAGAAAATGAAAGTTAAGTGATTCTGCTCAAGGTCAATGTAAAATTATTAAAAATGCTAATGATATGGGCAGGAGGCGAGGAAATACTAGGTAGAAGAGGGCAGTTCCCTGGCAAAGGCCCCACCCTCAAGCCTGGAAACCCATGGACCTAAATGGGAACAGGCATCCCTGTTTTCACGCCCAAATGTTGCCTTTTCTAAGACCACTCTGGCCTGCCATGCCCCTATTCTGTGCCCACATAAACCCCAAGCTCCACGAGCAGAGGAACAGAAGAGTAGCAGAACGACAGAGCAGCAGAGTGGCATGGCATAGAAGAAGAGAAGAGAAGGAGCGTCTGAACATCAACAGGAGTTCAGCTGGGGACAGTCAGAGAGGAGATCGGCTGTGGGGCAGCCAAACTCTGGGGGAATATCACCTTCCCATTCCATCCTCTTTCCAGCTCCCCATCCATCCCACTGAGAGCTACTTCTATCACCCAATAAAATCCCTGCACTCACCATCCTTCAAGTCTGAGTGACCTGAATCTTCCTGGACGCTGGATGATATGGTTTGGCTCTGTGTCCCCACTCAAATCTCATCTTGTAGCTCCCATAATTCCGTGTTGTGGGAGGGACCTGGTGGGAGATAATTGAATCATGGGGGCGGGTCTTTCCTCTGCTGTTCTCATGATAGTAAGTCTCACAACATCAGATGGCTTTAAAAATGGGAGTTTGCCTGCACAAGTTCTCTCCTCTTGCCTGCTGCCATGTGAGATACGCTTTTCACCTTCTGCCATGATTGTGAAGCCTGCCCAGCTACGTGGAACTATGAGTCCAATAAGCCTCTTTCTTTTGTAAATTGCCTGGTCTCCGGTATGTCTTATCAGCAGTGTGAAAACAGACTAATACACCGGACAAGGATCCAGGTACCAAGAGGGCAGGGTGTAAAAGGCTGTCACCCTGACTCTCTACTGAGCTGGTTTAACACTTAGCCGTCCACAAATGGCAACTACTAAAAGAGCATTAATTGTAACACACCCCTAAACGCTACTGGGGCTGGAGCCCAAAAGCACTCGCCCCGCCCCAGCTCTTGCCCCCGCCCATCCGTGTGCTCGCCCTCCCGAAAGGAGTTCGAGCCTGTAGTGGCTGAGCACATGAGCGACACCTCTGTCATAAGTCCTGTGAGGGATCAGGGAACTCTCCCGTTTCACTAACATATGCTGAGAAAATGGGTGTCAGGTGAGAAAGTCTAAGCTTAAGACAGAAGATTAAAAGAAAAAAACAAAAGATGTATGTTTAAAGAATAAAAAGGAAGAGAAGAAAAAGGCAAAGAAGAAGGTTATAAGGCAACAAATAAAATCTCTCAAATTAAGAATAAATGGACAGAAGGAATTGAAGGGAAGAAAAACTAGAAGGAAAACCTCAGTCCTAGGGTGTGAAAGCATTAACAAGGATTATGAGTGATAATAGACATGTATTATTTTAGATTTGGCTTATTGTAGAGTTTTTTTTATTTCATATTGGAACTATAGATGATTCATTTCTTAAATAAATAGGAAAAATGCCTGAACAATATGTGAATGGCATTGAATTATTGAAGATTAAGGCTTATAGTTAAGGCTTATACTTAAAAATCACATTGATTGGAAAGCTTGATGAGTCAGAATCAAGCAATGGTAAATGGCTAAATGGTAACAATTTTTACCAAGTTACTATGGGCCAAAGTAATATCCTTCAAAGTGCCAGCTGTCACAACATAGCAAGATTTTTAAACAATGTCATTCTTGGCTGCAAAGGGAGCCAGCCACTTGAAGTAGAAGTTCAGTTTTGCTTTCTGGATAAAAAGAGGTAAGGAGAAAATCAGAATAAAGTTCTGAAATTTAGGAAGATAAAGGAAGGAAGTCTTTTTCAGAGTGTTTCTATAAATGGCACACATTGATTGCTGATATGACATTGATGAATGTTGATCAAAATGACTTAATTCATTCTATTGTGTGATAAGAGCACTAGAGATGTCATACAATTAAATTAACTGCAATAATTGCTAAAAACAAGGAGATTTAAAGAGCAGAATTATACCTGAAATCCTATAAATGGCTTTGAAAGTGCCTTTGGAAAGTGTCACTTACGTGCAAAGCCTTTAGAGGTTTTAATTTAAAGCAGAATCAACACATTTTTAAGCTACACTAAACAGGGGTCATCACTGTCTTCATATCTGTGAAAGACTGCTACAACAAAGCGGAAAGAGCAGAAATGTGCAGGCTTATCGGTTTAAGTTCATTCCTAAAAATCGTAGAGGGAGATAGAGAAATAATTGCTTCTTTGATAACATCCTAACGTTCTTTTTTTTTTTTTTTTCTAGGATGGCTGGGCAGGGTTCTGCAACACAGCAGAAACCCCAGGCTTCCCAAGACCCAGGATCAGAACTGTATAATGTCACTTCTGCCTCACTTTGTTGGACAAAGTATGTCACAAGATCATCTCAGTGGTGGTAAAATTATTATTATTATTATTTTAAGGCAGAGTCTCACTTTGTCACCCAGGCTGGAGTGCAGTGGTGTGATCTCGGCTGCTCACTACAACCTCCGCCTCCCATGTTAAGCGACTCTCATGCCTCAACCTTACCCATGTTAAGCGACTCTCATGCCTCAACCTTACCAAGTAGCTGGGATTACAGGTGCATGCCACCACAGCTGGCTAAATTTTGTATTTTTTTTTTCATACTTTAAGTTCTGGGGTACATGTGCACAACAAGCAGGTTTGTTACAGATGTACACATGTGCCATGTTGGTGTGCTGCACCCATTAACTTGTCATTTACATTAGGTATATCTCCTAATGCTATCCCTCCCCCCTCCCCCCACCCCACGACAGGCCCCGGTGTGTGATGGATAACATCCTAATATTCTAACATGGTGATGTTAATCACCTCTATGCATATTGTTAAAATATGTATGCAGTTTTACTAAAATGTTAGAGAGAATATGCCTGAAATTTATATAAGGAATAAAAACAGATAAATCAACCTGAAAATGTCCCTATGTTTATTATCTTGAGTAATTTCAAAATGCATGAATAAAATGCATAGATGTGCATTTGCTGAGAGGGATTCATTCATCCAGGTTGAGAAAATGCCATACAATTTAGAGCCAAAGGCCTAGGACAAATTCCCAGCTCTCCTGCTCACAGGTCTTGAGCAAGTTAACCTTTCTGAACCTGTGTCTCATTGTTAACATGAGGGTTTATTCAAAAAGCAAGTATTTTTTGATTGTCTGCTACACGTAGGCACAGGGCTATGGAAATAGATAGGACATGGCCCTGTCTCACTAGAAGCTTATGTTTTTTGGTGGATGGTGATAACACTGACATCAGGATTGCTGACAAGATGACTAGAAGGGTGAAACTGCTTGCTAAACTATAATATTTCATGCAATTATTAAACACAGTTAATGTATAAAGTGATTCATAGTTTGCTACTGGGAAGACTTACACAAATTAAAGACATTTAGTAAAGAGATATCAGAGAAGCTCAACAAGATTTTATAATCCTACTCTTCCCAATTCCTTCCTTTAAGATGTAATACATTACTGATTTATTTATTAACCACCCCATCCATTATTAACCACCCCTTCTATTCTGTCCCAAACAGGAATTTAAGACTTTCTCAGTCCTACTCCATTAACAACAATAACCAATTATGCCCCATAACATAAAAGTTAACATGGCATTCATTCTTCTTAGGCTCAATTCTCTTACAATGGAATTTGGAGGAGGTTACATAGACACTTCTTTTTACTCCTCAATCCCATTTAATATTGCTGGAGAACCAAGAGTCATTCATTCAACATTTATTGATATTTACTTGCTAACGAAGGTTTACAGTAATATCCCTTGAGGGATAAAGATTTCCTACCCAGCCATGGGCAGAAATATTCAGCACCCTGAGGATGCCTACTCCATTCTCTTGCCTGTTGGAACCTTCTTTGGGTGTCCTTTAGATCATTTATATCAAACAGATAAGCTTACAGATGGTCATCAAGGCTTTGACTAGGAGCATTTGACACCAACACAGCACAACTTACTGTTTCATAAGTTTACTCCTTACACTAATGTAGTTTTTTTTGGTGGGGGTGGTGTCTAGGGTATTTTGCTTTTCACCCAGTTTTTATCAAACAATGCAAGCCTAAATGAGCATAAGATTATACACATATAACACTTTTATGTTTAGAGCATGGGAAAGACATGTTTATTAACAGAAAAGTTTAACCATGCATGAGTAAAGAGAACAGATCCTAACTGTCTAGTGGGTTCCAATCACAATGTATTGAGTTATTTTAAAGTTAACCTAAAGGGATTGTATACCAGGAAAATAGTACTTTTCCTTTGCTTGTATTAAAAGCAATAGATGCAATTAAACCTGAAACTGACAATGAACAATTGTGAAACCAATGGAAAAATTTGCAGATGATTTAAAACACATTGTTCAAGATAAAAGGCTGGTGATGACTTGATCAACATCCTCAAAAGAAACAAAACATGATTATTTGAGGACGTGGATAAACACTACTGAATAAATGAAATAATCTTAAGTTCACAAATCACATATACAGCACTATATTTGATGGGTTATTTTAAAGGATTTTTTATGATAATTTTGACTACTGGAAATTTTTACTTAACTTTCAAAGCTCTACTGTATATATATATATAAATTTTCCTGGTTTCATCTCCAAAGATGTGGTCCTTATTGCAATAATGAAGTAGGAAAAGTAAAAGGTACTTACTAAAAGTATGAATAAAATAGTAGAACATATTAAAATTTGTTAGAACCCTAAGTCCCTAATACTCATATCAGAAGCCAAATATACTTTAAGAGCATATTTGTGTTTATAACTTAAGACCACAAAAGAATACCCATTTCAGTGATTATTATCCAAAACTTGGTGATTCAGTGCTTATAAATTACAGATCAGTGAAATGGAAACCAAAATCTGTTTTGTTTTGTTTTGTTTTTTGAGATAGAGTCTTGCTCTGTCACCCAAGCTGGAGTGCAGTGGTGCGATCTCAGCTCACTGCACTCTCCACCTCCCTGGTTCAAGTGATTCTTGTGCCTCAGCCTCCGAAGTAGAGGGGACTACAGGTGCCTGCCACCATGCCTGGCTAATTTTTAAAATATTTTTAGTAGAGATGGGGTTTCACCATGTTGGCCAGGCTGATCTCGAAACTCCTGACCTCAGGTGATCCGCCTACTTCAGCCTCCCAAAGTGCTGGGATTACAGGCGTGAGCCACTGTGCTGGGCCTTGTAGTCCTGCTTTAAAGAAACTTGGTGGGAGAATTCAAATTGCCTCTTGAATAGTGATGTCAACATTATTAGTTCCACATCTGACCATCTTGACTAGAACTGCTGATGAGACATGGCAAAATTTTCTCAAAAGGGAGGTATTTGAACAAATTGAGATATAAAATGAAACACTCCTTAAGATTATGACTTTACCTTTCGGATTTTGGGACATTCTCTAGGGAACTATGTTATTTTGAAGTATCTCTCACAAGAAAGTTGGGTGGGACCAAAAGCCTCTAGAATCATTTGAGAAACAAATGATAGTCCCTTATTCAATCTGAGAGTGAATGGCATGTCCTGCACTTAATGAAATAAAAAATGTGTTTGATCTAGATCTCTTAGCAGTTTAATCCTGCATTCATAACCAAATTTTCCTCTTATTTAAAGAAGCTGGAATAACTGAGAGAACAACAATCACAAGGGCATGTGAAGAAGAATGCCTGCTTCCCCCTCCCTCATTCACTGAACACCTATGTGGCAGGCACTGAGGATTAGCTCCCAGCCTGGATTTGTATTCATCTTTGGACCTTGGCTCCTAGCAGTCACACAGGAGGGATCATATTCTTAAAAAAAAAGGATATTAACTAGGGGATACAGCCTTCCACCAGCTGTTCCCCTACCTCTAAAGCAGGTTTTGCAATCTTTTCTGCACTCCCAGGAAAGAAATATACAACTGGAGATGTGCTGCTGCTGCTGTATAGTTTAAATGGTTTACCTGCATGACAATTACTTTGAAGATAGCTAGGTGAGGGGTTTTTAGGAAAGGAAGTTTATATTTTGAGTGCATACATAGTATATGACAGGTACTGTGTTAAGAAGTTTACCTGTTTTCTCTTATTTAAATTCTACATATTTATTATTCCTATCTGAGCCTCAATTTTCTCATCTAAGAAAATAGGTACAATATCTATCTCAAAAGACTATTATGAGGATTAAAAGGGATTTTAAAAAACACTAATATTTATTGAACATCTACACTGGATTAAGCATTGTGGTTTGTTCCTCCACATACTTTATCTTATTCATTAGCTGCATTTTAAAATGAGGAAAATGAAATTAACCAGAGGTGGCTAAAACTATTTTTCCCCAGTGGAAGAACCTCCGCCAAGAATCCAGAAAACAGGCTGGGGGCAGTGGCTCATGCCTGTAATCACAGCACTTTGGGAGGCCGAGGTGGGCGGATCATTTGAGGCCAGGAGTTTGAGACCAGTCTGGCCAACATGGCGAAACCCTGTCTCTACTAAAATACAAAAATTAGCCGGGGGTGGTAGCATGCCTGTGATCCCAGCTACTTGGGAGGCTGAGGCAGGAGAATCGCTTGAACCCAGGAGATGGAGGTTGCAGTAAGCCAAGATGGTGCTACTGCACTCCAGCCTGGGTGACAGAGCAAGACTGTCACAAAAAAAAAAAAAAAAAAAAAAGAAAAAACAAACAAACCCAGATACAGGCAAGGTTGCAGGGAAAAGGGAACCCTTACATAGTGTTGGTAGGAGTGCAAATTAGTTCAAACATTGTGGAAAGCAGTATGGCAATTCCTCAAAGAGCTAAAAGCAGAACAACCATTTGACCCAGCAATCCTATTATTACTGGGTATATACCTGAAGGAATATAAAGCATTCTACCATAACGACACATGCACACAAATGTTCACTGCAGCACTATTCACAAGAGTAAAGACACGGAATCAACCTAAATGCCCATCAGTGACAGAATGGATAAGGAAAATATGGTACATATACACCATGGAATATTATGCAGCCATAGAAAAGAACAAGATTATGTCTTTTGCGGGAACATGGATGGAGCTGGAGGCTATTATTCTTAGCAAACTAACACAGTAACAGAAAACCAAATACTGCATGTTCTCACTTCTAAGTGGGAGCTAAATGGCAATAACTTATGACTACAAAGAAGGAAACAACAGACACTGGGGTCTACTTGATGGCGGAGGGTGGGAGGAGGAAGAAGAGCATAAAAGATAACTATTGGATACTGAACTTAATACCCGGGTGATGTAATAATATGTACAACAAACCCCTGTGACATGTGTTTGTCTATGTAACAAACCTTCATGTGGGCCCCCAAACCTAAAATTTAAAACAATTTTAAAGAAAGGACTTTCTGATTACATCATCGGTTTGATCAAGATTTGTTTGGTTAAGGGAATTTGAGTTGATACCACCTGACCTGAATTTCACAACTGATCCCAATATAAAATGAGTGTCCTGTTGTAGACCACAGGGAAACACTAAAGCTAATAGGGGAAATCTATAAAATTATTTTGACATTAACATTGAGGGATAAATTTGGACTTAATGTTTCATATTTATTTTCTGACACCAACATTAAAACAAGAGAATGCTCATTCCACAATGAGGAAATTTTCTAATGAATTTTATTATCACCAGCATCTTTAAAAATTAAGAGGAATTCTCTGAGAGTATATATAAAAAAGAAATTAAAGGCAAATATTTTGCTGTTAAGGATTTAAAAATAAACAGAAACATAGAGTATAAAATTTTCATTTCACTGTGCCCTCATTTAAAATTATAAGAATATAAGCAAATAACATCCAATGTCAGAAGAGATTCAGGGTGACCATTTGCAGTATTTAGTGGCAAATTAGTAGCATCATGAAAAATTTCAATTCATTTAAAAAAATAGCTTTCATTTAAATAATAATTACGTTTAGCTTTATCTCTGTATATAATTAGACTTTCTTTTGGCTTAGACAATTCCATTTTCTCCAACTGGGAGCTGTGAAGGATCAAGTCCTACTTTCTTCATTGATACGGCAATATCAAATAAATAGTCATAACACTCACACCTGTAAAAGAAAAAGCAAAAAGAACCAGTGTTTATCGAAACAGAGTTCTCCAATCCTAAAGAATCACATTTCTCCTCTCTTGCAGTTAACTCTGCTTTGTTCCTAGTATGTATTTTCTCTCAATTCTAGGCCAAAATTCTATTTTTCCCTCAACATTTTTAAAACACAGAAAGGAATCATATTAAGTCATGCAACAATATTACATACCTCTCAGGAAATAAAAGAGAGTTTAAAATATACTGCCTACATAAATTTACATTTTTTTTAAACTAGATGTCACTTTCTGAAATAGAACTTTTGTAACTTGGGATCTGTGTCTTCTTCCTCTATCAACATTCCTAGAGCCTTGCCAAACAACAGCTCATCCAATCAATACTTCTTCATGAATGGATACATAATAAAAATAAAGTATCTACAAATAATGATAAACAATTTAAATTTAAACCAACTGACATACTTTGTTTTCCTTCACATTTAGCGGGTGGTAACTTGTTCCCCATGTTCTCTGATTTACACTCACATGGTTTTGGCCTTCTCCCATGTTTCCCCCCACACATATACTCCATGACGTCTGACCAGTACTGCACAGGAGTCTGGGTATTCATTCATTGCATGAGCCATTCTATCTTTGAGGTCTTTCTCCTCAGGTGTATTCTCAATAATGGGTACCACTAACATATCATCATATCTGTAAGACAAAACAAGCCATTTTTTTCCATTAAAACAAATCAAGCATTGATATGTATACAACATGTAATTTTTTCAAGTAACCAGTTAGACATGCTGTTTGTGTCTGAAAAGCCACTCCAAATTATGAACAGGATGTTGCGTGTTATTCTGTGTACCTTGTATAAACATCTCTATCAAAAGGTACCTTGGGAATGTGGCAGGCTTGGTCTAATCCTAAGCCTAAGTGGTGGAAATTTGTAAAATATACCAAAACCTAACAAAGAAATCATCAAGATCATATAAATGTTTCCTTGAAGCAGGGACAATCATAATATTTATACAAGGAGATGGCAAATGATATATTTCAGAATCAGAAGCATAGAAAAGATTAAAAATTGAATTATATATTAAGAATTTCCCAATTAATACAAAATCACTGTATTTCATTTCTGCAGAATCCCAAAGTATCTGAGATAGGCAAATCAAAAAACACAAGCATGGTTTGTGGCACTAGGACAGCAAGAATGTTCTGGAGATAACTCTTAAAGGTACGACGCTTTCAGAACATTCTCAAATCTGTAGCATTAGAACTTCTTTTACTTCCACTGTCCTCTCAGGAAATACATGTGATGAAATCAGAATGTAATATTTAAACACATAATTGTCACTGGCAAAATTAAGTCTATTCTTGCAAAAACTCAGATAAGCTTTCCTTTTTACATGAATTTCTCTTGTTTTGTTAATGTAACATCTGCTTTTTCACTACTTCTATAGTGCTAAAAACTTAAAAAAAAAAGTTCTAGCTAAAGTATTCTGCAATTGCTACTGTAGGGCAAGCACAGACTAAGTAGTCATCATGTGACTGATAACTTGGCCAACCATTATCATTAAGAGTATAGAGTTGCCCATCACTTCACTTAAGTAAAACAGAGGTAATTATAGACTATCCTTAACTATGGCTAGGTGCATTGGCTCATAGCTATAATCCCAGCACTTTGGGAAGCCAAGGCAGATGGACTGTTTGAGCTCATGAATTTAAAACCAGCCTGGCCAACATGGTGAAACCCCATCTGTACAAAAAATACAAAAATCAGCCAGGTATGGTGGTGCATGCCTGTAGTCCCACCTACTCGGAAGACTGAGGTGAGAGAATGGCTTGAGCCTGGGAGGCGGAGGTTGCATAAGACAAGATCGAGACACTACACTCTAGCCTTGGCGACAGAGCCAGACTTAGTCTCAAAAAAAAAAGAAAAAAGTATCCTTAAATATTGAAGGAATGAATTGCTAGTCTCAAATCTTTCCTAATATTGGCCGAGAGAACCATAAACATATTTTTCTCTAGCATGCACTCAATAGTCAGAAATATTTTCAGGAGCAAAATAATTTCACAGCAAAGTAAGAACTGAAAGCGAATTCAAGCCAGTCCTCCCACTTTACAAACATGACACTGATCCAGACAAGTTAAATGAGAAAGAGAGCCAGGATAGCCCTTTGACCCTCAAAGAGTATTGTTTTCACTGTACCATAGAGACATTGCTTCTGAAAGGGAGTACAATTATAATATAAAGTTATGTATATGTATACATTATACAACTATAATATATGTATACATAGTATACATGTATATTATATATATTATATATACCTATATAATGTATACCTATATATGTATAGGTATACATGTATAACTATATATGTATATATATACCTATATAACTATATATGTATATTATATATGTATAGTTATACATGTATATATAACTATACATATATAGGTGTATATATATACATATAACTATACATATAAAGGTATATATATACACATATATAGGTATATACATATACATCAATGTCAGACCACAGATATGATGGTGGTCCTATAAGATTATAATGGAGCTGAAAAACTCCATTATACCTGCACAGACCTGGTGGACTGAACAAAGGGGGCGAACGTGGGAATAAAAGATAAAAACAAGAGAGTACGTTTGGAAGAAGAGGTCGGGGGCACCTTGCCTCTAGTGGACAAGGGCCCCGAGCTGTACACAGCCCTCCGTATTTATTGGTAAAAGAGATAACGAGAAATGGGGGGCAATTGTCGGGCAATTGTCAGTCGGCCACTTTGGTTCACAGCAGGCTTGCAAGACTGCATCCTTTGAACAATAGGCTCTAGATTTCTCAATGGATAACTTCAAGGAGCCCGGTGCCAGGGAGTGATGTCCCTCAGCAAACCTTTTGGTGGCAGGCGCAGTGTGAGTTTGCTCACATCCTGCATTCATGATAAACAGTTTGCTGTTTGATCATATAGCCTCCAGTGGAATGCTGAGTTGATCACGATCCCTTTGGCCTTTTTGGCTCTCAACAACTCCTATCGCCTAATGACCGCATAGCTGTCATAGGGTCACAGCACAACATATTATGCAAATGTCTGTGGTGATGCTGGTGTAAACAAACCTACTGTGCTGCTAGCTGTATAAAAGTACAGCACATACAATTATTACAGTATGTAATACGTGATGATAATGACTATGTTAGTAGTTTATGTATTTATTACTCTATAATTTTAAAACACTATTTTAGGGTGTACTCCTTCTACTTATATGGTTTTTAAAAAGTTAACTGTAAAGCAGCCTCGGGCAGGTCCTTCAGGAGGTATTCCGGAAGAAGGCACTGTTAGTTATCACAGGAGATGACAGCTCCATGCATGTTACTTGCCCCTGAAGACCTTCCACTGAGACAAGGTGTGGAGGTGGAAGGCAGTGATATTGATGACCCTGACCCTGTGTACTCCTAGGCTAATATATGTGTTTGTGTCTCAGATTTTAACAAAAAAAATTTAAAAAGTTAAAAAAAATTAAAATAGAAAAAAGCTTATAGAATAAAGATATAAAGAAAATATTTTTGTATAGCTGTACAATGTGTGTTTTAAGGTACTATTACAAGAGTCCAAAAGTTAAAAAAAAAAAGTAAAAGCTTGATAAACTAAAAAAGTTACAGTAAGCTGAGGTTATTATTAAGAAATGTTTTCAATAAATTTCGTGTAGCCTAAACATACAATGCTTATAAAGTCTATAGTAGTGTAATGTCCTAGGCCTTCACATTTACTCACCACTCACTCACTTATTCACCCAGAACAACTTCCAGTTCTGCAAGCTCCGTTCATGGTCAGGGCCTTAGACAGGTGTGCCACTTTTTACCTTTTACATCATATTTTTTTTTTACCAAACCTTTTCTATGTTTAGATACACAAATACCTACCATTGTGTTGCAATTGCCTACAGTACTTTGTACAGTAACCTGCTATGCAGGCTTGTAGCCTAGGAGCATTAGGCTATACCATATACCCTGGGTGTGCAGTAGGCTATACCATTTAGGTTTGTGTATGCACTCTGCTGTTCACACAATGATGAAATCACCTAGTGACACATTTCGCAGAACATATCCCCATCCACAGTGACAAGTGACTGTATTTTAAAGCTGTTCTTTATATAAAAGATAAACTTAAAAAAATACAGTAGAGAATTTTAAACTCCATCCTTTCTTACCTCATCCAGCTTTCATTGCCTTTCTTTTGATTAGACTCAGGATTCTCTTCAAATTCAGATAAAATAACACTGCCTCCTGAGCTGTGTTAATGACTCTATTACTCATTTCCCAGCTAGACTCCAACAGAATTGCAAAGGGCCACCATGCTTGGCCTCTCCACAAAATTGCAAAGACTCTCTCTTATGCCCTGTTCCTCTACCTTACTTTTTCCAAACTCTTTTCAGAAAAACTGATTCTTCTGACCTATTTTTATTTCCTCACCAAAACAATAACATTCATATGAAACTGATAGTACCCATAAGGCCTCTCCTTCAGCCCCAGATATGGAAGAGGCAATCTGGGGCTCTACTTTCCTCAGTATGTACACTTCTCTTAATTTAAATATTTAACTTTTGTAAACAGGTGTTTCACAGTCCTGAGGAATGCTTTAAGCACACAATAAATATTAACTGAAATCAAATCAATTTCTCAGTGCACTAGTTTAAACATGCACATTCCATTACATGCAGTAAGAATATGATATTGTGGTAATAACACTTTAGTAAAACTGGCACCGTTTTCCTCTAAACAAGGCAAGGTAGAATCAAGCCCTTTAGGAAATTAAGAGTGAAGGTTCAGGAATGAGAATGCTAATAAACTCAAATGAAATGCTTAGCTTGTCCCTGAACACTGAGAACATGTTTCTTCCTGCCGTTATATTCTAGAATTATGAAGAATTACTACACTTTTGTGGACTGATGAATTTATTTAAACTGATCTAGAATGGTAATCTATACTTACTATCCATTTCACCTTAAACACTGAAAAATTCTAAAAATATAGAGATCTACTTTATTAAAAAAACTTACATAAATATGAAAATATTCCAGAAATACTAAATTAAATCACCATGAAGTATAAACTGTAGTCACTGGTCAAATTTCTGAAGACAAAGTGAAGTTGAAGATATCTTTGGCTGCCTCAATACAGGAACATAATCTTTCCATCATGATAGAGATCTCAGTCAAGATTTTTTTCAGTTTAAACAAACATTTCATTATTCATATTACTAATAATTTACCATGGCTGGGGTAGGGGCGGGAGAGGAGGGAAGACATCCCATTCGTGTCATGAGAATAGGTCTAGAAGTGTAATATTAAATGGAGTATTATTTAACACAGATCCCACGACATCTCATTATATGCATAAAATGATCAGTATTCTATTTATCAAAGAGAAGGAAGAATTCTTTTCAAATTATTTAAGAAAAAGGAAAAAAAAATACCTATAATACCCTCCGGAAGTACATTTCTTTATTCCTTTTATCATCTCTTGATGTGTAATTTTAAACTCCCGTCCTGGAAAGAGAAGTGTGGCCATCACAGCAGCTTTAGAGTGGGTATGAATCACTGCACCTGCTCCTGAAGGAGGAAGAAGAAAGCCGCATGCTCAATGAAGACTGAATTATAGCTTTTAAAGAAAAAAAGTCCATATAGTTATACTTATATTTACATATGGTTATGGGCTTATTTTTCCTGGCATGGAATAAGTTGGTAGTAGGCAGGAGGGTAAGTGGAATAATGGACCTTCCTCATAGGTTGATGTGAGAACTGAGTAAGTTCATGCACTTCAAGTTCTTGCACATGGTGGGTATCCAAGAAATGTTAACTGAAATAATAATTACCATTATTTAGAGGAGCCTACTCTGCAAATATTCTTTATGTTGAATATATTTTCTGCATACCTCTCATTGTGTAAGCATTCATGAAAAGAGGAGTACACTGGCTTTTTTTTAGCTTCTTCGATGGCGAAGGTCCACTTATGTCCTTTTCATTTATATCACAAACAAACATGTCTTCAGGCTATTTATAGAGGGGAAAAAAAGAAAAAAAGAAGGCTTGTAAAATATCAATTAGAAATGTTCCTTTTCTTGTGTACATATACATAAGAATACAAGAAAGTTTATCTATAGTATACATACTTGTGTGTATATTTAGTATACATATACATAGAGTGCTAATATATGCATATATTTAACTTACATTTTAAATATATAATTATAGTTTCTCAAAATAATTTAGCAATTTTGAGAAATAAAACAGTGATTTCTACTAGTAAAAATATTCTCAGAAGTTTAATACAAATCCCAAAAATTAAAAAAAATTTGAAGACAAAAAATGATATGGAAAATTACTATTTATGTAATGATGTTACTGCTGTCATTTCAACAATTTAGCTTCTCAACTTTGCCCTATAATTTCACAACTGTATTTCAGAAAGTCTATATAAAGAAATCGACATTCCAAAGATGGGTGTTAAAATTTTTTTCCCCACATTTTGTTAGATAAAAGCAAAATTTTGAGTAATTTTTCTAACCCTTGAGAAATTTAGATGGTACTCAGAAAGGTTAATCTCAATAAGGTATATTCTTCTTAAAGCTTAAGAAATTATGTAGATCTACAGGTTTTTCTTTTTTTTTTTAACTTTTATTTTAGGTCCAGGGGTACATGTGGAGGTTTGTTACATAGGTAAATTGCATGTTACAAGAGTCTGGTGTACAGATTATTTTGTCACCCATGTAATAAGCATAGTAACTGACAGCAGTTTTTCCATCCTCACTTTCCTCCCACCCTCCACCCTCCAGTAGGTCCCAGTGTGTATTGCTCCCTTCTTTGTGACTGTATGTACTCAATGTTTAGCTCCCACTGTAAGTGAGAACATGCGGTATTTGATTTTTCTGTTCCTGCATTAATTCACTTAGGATAATGGTTTCCAGCTCCACTCATGTTGCTGCAAAGGACATGATCTTGTTCTTTATTATGGCTGCATACTAATCCATGGTATATATGTACCACATTTTCTTTCGCCAGTCTACTGTTGATGGGTATCTGATCCACATACAGTAAAGCATGCGTATTTCTGTAGCTTTTATCTGCCAGGATTTATTAAAAAACTACAATACAAATGTTTTATTAACAAAGCAGCTTTTCTTTTTTTTCTTGCATTAGAAGTTAAATAATTATGTGTTTGCTTTAACTAGATTTGGGGTATTATTCTGGCATTAACACAGAATAAGACTTCTCAAAATTTGAAACAAAGTTTCATAACTTGAAATCCTGAAATTAGAATAACTTTGCTATTAGGAAATATGAATTAATTTGGTTCATCTGAGACCATCAATCTGATTATTCCACCAGCCTGATAAAGATCGTAGTGTTATAAAGCTGCAAAGTTATAATTGCTCTTTACTGTGATTTAAGATTGCACTATTCACTTTTGCCCCCTATAGGTTGAATGAGATTTCAAAACATACACCGGTTGTATGGAAGATATCTACCACCTTACAAAACATTTAATAATTACTCAATAAATGTTTGCTGATTAGTTATTCAAATTGCTATGATAAAATGAATGTTTTCTCTTAAAATTAATTCCATTTCATAAAACAGTAATTAAGAAGAAAAGACACTGAGGTTAAAGAATCCCATTACCATACCTGAATTCGTTCCTTTTGCACTCCTGAAGGAGCAATGTAGATTTCATCGCTGGCAACACAAAACATACAAATTGGTATTTATTTATTTCCTGCTTTTGCACAAAGAAAAGTTTGCAGTCCAATCATGCATGTTCTTTATAAATCAAGCAATACAGCCAGTTGCTTGATTTAATTATGGATTTTGGCTGCATAGAAAGAAAGCCAAACTACATCAATGCCTTTGTAGTGCTGGTGGCATTGTAGAATATTAGTTGTTGCTTTTGTCTTCTACGTTTCATATATATTTATTCTTTTTATAGTGCAAAGTTGGTGGTAACCAGGCTTTTATCCTGTTAGGGGAATAAAAATCTGAAAACATAAGTTTTCAGCGTCTTTAAACATGAATAAGCAGAGTTTAACCTATGTGAAATACAGTTATTCTAAAATCCAATCTGGAAAATATGCTCAATAGAAGTATATTTCTGTCATGCAAAGAATCAGGTTTGATTTATTGTTTGAAATGCTCTTCTTAAACCATGAAGTTCAGAGACCTCTGCTGGACAGTTTCTTAAATTACTGTATTAACACTGGGCTACTTTTTGGATAGAATCACATGCTTCCCATTTGAAAAGCATACATATCTTGGAAAAAAATTTAGTAATAAAGCTAAAACAACTACAAAGAGTTCAAAATATCAGAATGGCTACATGTGAAGATCTCTTTGTTACAGGATGTTGGACTAAGGGAGATGCTATAGACTACCATTTACCACAAGGTGCTCTCAAATTTGATTTGGAAATTAATTTCAAATCTTCTCTAAATTCCCTCCACCCTCAACAACAACTAAACAAACGTCCCTTGGCTCACATATCAGGTTTTTTCTCTTCTCGCTGGATATCTTTGATAACTTACCAGTTTCAGTTGCTGCCAGAGAGTATTAATGAGCTACTGCATATATGCAAACCAAGAAAATGCCAGTACCTGCATGCTCTAGTTTCTGCTAGTAAGGCACAGACACAGGGATATTGAACAAATATCAAACATTTCATAGTGTAAATGAGGATGATGGCCTATATACCAAGCTGCTGAAGTTCAGGTTGCTAATAAACCTGTAGGCTTGGAACCGATAAAAATCTAAGGTGAAATCAAAGTTTCTTTAAGGTTCCACTGATAAAGTCTAGAAAACAAATGTCTGATAATGTGAGTGGAAATCCAATGCACTGTTAGCTGCACGCGAGCATTTGCTTTCATGAAGTGGCTATTGTTTCCGAGTTCTGCAACATAAGGATAACATAAAGGGACATTCCTCTGCAACCAGTGAGAATGGGTTGGGATCATACTATTAACAAGGGCTCTTTGTGAATACCAGTGATCCAAATCTTGTGTCCTTGTGTAACATGGAAGAAGCTCTAGGATGGTACATGGTCCACTCACCTCCACAGATAAGTGGACTTGTGGGTCTTCTTATGTGGGGAGAAATTTATGCAGTCCTGGGAATAGACTCAAATAAAGTACAAAATGGTCTGCTGGTAAGTAAAACCCATCTATAAAGTAGGAAAACCAAGGGTACTCTGTTTATTCAAGTGACTTGGTATGTTGTAAATGTCTTTGTAAAATGGAAATTAATTTAGACTTTGATGAACTTTGGGTAATTAAAAGATTAGCCAAATGTTTTAGAAAAATATATTTACACCTACAAAGAAAGAGATATCTGGATAAAAATATAAAAATGACAGAGCTTTTTAGAATAGAAACATGCCAAATATTAAAGTGAAATATCTACTTGGTGCTTTAAGCCACAAACAGAAAGCATTTTGAATTTCAAGTTACTAAATTTTGGAATATACTTCTCTGTACTCCTGCATTTTCACTGTGGTAAGCAAGGGCCAAACCCCAAGAGGTCAAAATACATCTATGTTCAGTTGCTTCTATTTTTATTTGCTTTCTGGTCAGTTAAAAAATAATTTAAATCTTATAGTGCCTCAATTATTTTGTCTACAATGTGACTTTATTAATTGTAGTCCTAATCACATGCAACAGGATCAGTCTCTCTGACACCTGTCAATATTACTCTGTGAAAACAGGAAATTATAAATTTGAATGATAGCGACCCAACCTAAACACAGTAGCTATTGAGTATCCTGGAATTGCCTTGATTACTATTATTTTCTTGGTCATTTATTTCCTTCTTCTGACTTAATTTTTGGTACCACATACTTGTAGCATAAGCTGGAATGGTCCAGTCAAATCTTGGAATTAGTAAATCATTTTATGTTCCCAAAGAGCTTATTGTCTGTATTATTCTGGAAACATAATTTATTGCGTTTGCATTTTATTCCAAATTTATTTGCCCTAAGCATCAAAGAGCCAAACTTTCACTAACAACATGAGAATAGTATTGCTGATAATGCTAGTGACTTATTAAGTCATTTAAATATTAGGGAAAAAAACCAACATTTTACTACAAAATATTCATTTTACTATGTAAAGCACAAATTTAATAAGATTCCAAATACAGTGCCATGTGACTGTGGCTCTTTCCTTCCATGACCTCCACACCCATTAAGAACTAAGGATAAAGCATTTCACATATATGATGAAAATTTCCTATGAGCTGATTTTAGTGCTATAAAAGCCCATTTAATTTTAAAAGATGCGCCAATGAGTGGTTTATGGTGGTCACATAAAATGGTAGTGCATGGATTAGTAAAATTCTACTAGAAAGAACATAGTCCTTTATGTCTTTTTGATCAAAAATATTTCATCTTGAGTCCTGCATTCACCTATTTTTAACTTTGCTAGTTTTTTTAAAGAGCCAGTTGGAAATGGTTATTTTAGCTCATTTGGTAGAAAGCTTTATTTTATACATACACAAACTATTTCTGAACATGCAAATAAAAAGCAGTTAACTAAAGACAGCATTTAGAATATGATTTATTATAAATAATACAGTTGGGAAACTATATTACTGGGACTCAACTTCTAAATGGATACATGAAACAAGAATAAATGTTGTTATCGTAGGATTTGCTGTGAATAGGCCATCTTGAAAGTTTTGGCAAAATAATGTGAAAGCTTGAGCAATGCTGTATTTACACATTAGCAACTAGGCTGATGGTAAGAGAGGAGGCACAGATGGATTTATTGATCTACCATATGGAACATAATCTTACTAGACTGAGAGCATACTTTTATCCCTAACTGTGCCAGTTGTTAACAGAGGAACCTCTTGTCATTTCCCAATGTTCAATGAAAATTTCATGAGTTAACTCAGTAATTTAAAGCAGATAAAATTATAATGGCATCATCTTGTGGTGTACCATTGAATCCCTTTTGTTCCCAATGTTCTGATTATATTTTACATTCCATTCCTTAATATGCAATGCAGCCTCCTTGGGGGCATGACTATATATATTCAACAGCACATAAATATTTTAATAATCCAATTTTGTTAAAGAAAGTGAATTAGAATGAAGTAATAAATCAACATCACTCAATTTAACACACAACCTCCAGACAATAATATTCCTAACACATTTCAGGAGGAAAAAAAGATTAATCCTGTATTGGAAATCCTTGAATGAGATTCTATAATCTTAATTTCATTGATAGCAAGTTACTTCTTACTCACAGTTACTAATACTTACTTTATTTCTTCATCTTCTTGAATAAATGACACTAAATAAATACAATGAGCAATTGAATACTATTTATCCTTTCTGCTTCAATTTAAGTCCAGTACATCTTGTTTTGTCCTCTGAGGAATACAGATTAGCAGGCACTATATTCATTAATGATACAGGTGCTTAGAAAGCATACTGCCGTTCTTTTGATTCAATAAAAAATAATTATTAGGATTTTTAATGATTAGTCATCTGTATTTAAGTGACTTTGAAATATGTATCTGGGAGGTCAAGGCAGGTGGGTTGCTTGAGCCTAGGAGTTTGAGACCAGCCCATGCAACTTAGTGAGACCCAGTCTCTACAAAAAAAAAAAAAAAAAAAACCCCAGAAAAAATTAGCCAGGCGTGGTCGCACATGCCTGTAGTCCCAGCTGCCCAGGAGGATGAGGTAGGAGGATTGTTTAAGCCTGGGAAGTCAAGGCTGCAGTGAGCCATGATCGCCCCACTGCACTCCAGCCTGGGTGACAGAGCAAGACTCTGTTTCAAAAACCAAAGTACCTGAACCTTTGAAACAAATCCTATCTACCTAGAGAGGATCCTCTAGAATCTCAGGTATATGAACATACTTGGTAGCATGTTATTTAACTCTGGTACTCAAAAACTGAGTATTAAGTTATTGTGATTTGAAATTGTGGATCTTCAGTCTTTAGCTATTTGACATATCTGCAGCTTTTGTACATTGCTTCCATTCAGTTACACAAATGTCCACTTGTCCATTTAGAAACTAAAGACCTTCAGTATCACATAAAACTGATCATCAGTTGTTCTTTGGATATAACACATTAGACTTGCTGTGGTCTACTCAAATGGAGAGTTCCCAGTAATAAAGGCTGCCAGAAACTTACCCATGCTTCAAGCTAATTCCTCCTCCAGTCCCAGTGACCCAGCCTAAATGGTAAAACTGTTTGCAAAGTTCTGGGATCAGGTATCTTGGATGCTCCTTGTCCTTAAAAAGAAGGTAATGATTTTTAAAACAGACATCATTTTATCAAGTAACTATTCCAGCTGGTGTTTCTAATAAGAAGCCAATTTAAGAAAGTTTAAGAAAACATACTATAGAAAGAGTACAGTGAAGGAAAAAACTATTACAAACATATTTTGTTTTTAATGTTTAGAAAGTGGATCTACTACATTATTTGGCAACCTGGGAGTATTCGGTATAGGGCCATATAGTCCAACACTAAGGAACAGGCTGCAAAAACAAGGTGGGGAAATGCCTAGTATACATTACAAAGCATCAACTGAAATGGCTGAAAGAAAATAGAATCTCATGCTGAAGGAACAGTCTCTCCAGAAGATTTATTTACACAAAACACCTTATTTAACTAGGTTTGATGATATATACATGAGATATTATGATAGTTACATGTTCAACACATACTCTGTGTGTTGGTTCAATTGTATTTTTATTCCAAAAAAGTCCTTTTTCCCACAATGATTTTAGTTTCTCTTATTGAAAAAGCAATATATACTCATTATAGAAAATAAAGTGAAGCAAATTACAAAAAACACTAAGAAACAACCTCAATTAATACTTGCTTAACCCATTTTATGAAGATACGTGTTTATGAGTGTATGTGTGTGTATACAGACAGATAAATATCAAGTGTTATTTTTATAAGTCCAATGATTACTTCTTTAGAAAAAAGAGCCCACACCATTTTCTCCTGCTTTTTTGTGGTTTAAATTAATGAAAACAAAAATAAATAAATAAATAAATAAATGAAGAAGAAATACAATGAATTCCATTTTGGGCAGTATAATATACAATCCTTATCTTAAAAATAAGTACAAATGCTGAATAAATTATTTTTTAAAATATTTCAAAATAAGTTGTTGAGCTGGCAAGAAAGTAAAGTTTCACAGGGGCCATAAAAAATGAGAATGAGACTCTCACACCAGTTGGAATGGCGATCATTAAAAAGTCAGGAAACAATAGATGCTGGAGAGGATGTGGAGAAATAGGAATGCTTTTACACTGTTGGTGGGAGTGTAAATTAGTTCAACCATTGTGGAAGACAGTGTGGCGATTCCTCAAGGATCTAGAACCAGAAATACCATTTGACCTAGCAATCCCATTACTGGGATTCTACTATAAAGACACATACGTATGTTTACTGCAGCACTATTTACAATAGCAAAGACTTGGAACCAACCCAAATACCCATCAATGATAGAATGGATAAAGAAAATGTGACACATATACACAATGGAATACTATGCAGCCATAAAAAAGGATGAGCTCACGTCCTTTGCAGGGACATGGATGAAGCTGGAAACCATCATTCTCAGCAAACTAACACAGGAGCAGAAAACCAAACACTGCATGTTCTCACTCATAAATGGGATTTGAACAATGAGAACACATGGACACAGGGAGGGGAAAATCACACACCAGGGCCTGTCAGCAGATGGGGGGCTAGAGAAGGGATAGCATTAGGAGAAATACCTAACATAGATGATGAGTTGAGGGGTGCAGCAAACCACCATGGCACGTGTATACCTAAGTAACAAACCTGTAAGTTCTGCACACGTATCCCAGAACTTAAAAGCATAATAAAGCAACAACAACAACAACAAAGGAAAATGAGACTACCTGGGAGAGAAGTGAGCGCCAAAGCCAGAATGTTCCTGAAGGTATTGCAAAACTCTGGTGACCTTGAACTTCAATTTTGATAGCCATGTAAGCCACTAGAAGCATGAGACAAAACCCAGGGCCTGATCAATTCCAGGAAACCTAATGAAAAATCCCCACATAAACTGGAGACCCCACTGAGGTCTACCTTCAAGGTAACAGTGAACAAAATGAGATTCACTGTGGAGAAAATCACAACAAGGAAGCATGCCTTTACAGATCCGGTCACTGGGTAAAGGGGGAAAAACATCTTTGAGTTCAAAAAGCGATCATTATTTAACAGGTTGAATTCTCAGCTACTTAGCTGAATACTTGAAATTGTGGTGTTTTTCCCCAGATTTAGTGCTAATGTTCTACTTACTCATTTTAAGTATTACAAATGATGACTGATGGAGTAAACTTCAAAATATAAAATTAAAAACTTGAGAATCTAGAAATTTCTAAAAGTTCTGATTCAACTTAGACTTGGAGTTAGCTGACTTAAAAGTCTAATCCACATTACTGGATTTATTGCCTACATGACTTTGGGTGTCAGTTTACTTATCCACACAATGAAAATGCTGTGAGGATTAAAATGAGATACAATGGACATAATGCAGTCAGCATGAAATCTGACACAATGTCAGTTTCCTTTTCATTTTAAAGAGCTGAAAATTCTTGAATTAAAATAGCAAAACTATTATAGGAGTTATTAAGAAATTATTTTAGACAGAGAGGGTAAGGTTGGTAAGGTTTTGTTTTCTTTTAATAATGCAGCTTAGTAAGGTTTTTTTTTTTCTTTTAATAATGCAGCTCCAAAAACATTTCTTTTCTAGCAGAAAAGCAGCTTAAAGGGCCAGGATAGCAAGCTTTGATGTGCAAATGCCAGCCATTAGAAACCGGGTCCATCCAATATGGTGATTCCCACCCTCTTCTTGTCACCATGTGTGTCAAGCATCATGGCCACCCCAGATATCTTCACGTGTGCAGAACATCATGGTGGCCTGTATTTGAATATTAAAAGGCTAGGGTGGGAAGGCTAGTTTTTTTCGTGGGCTACCTGAGTGACATACCTGGTCAAACCAATCCCCTGGGCCCTATGAAAATCAGACACCACCTCCTCCAGCCTCCTAATAGAACCGACTGTTTTCCCGCTCCACTTGGGGTTTTCTCTCTCTGCTTGGAGCCACCCTCCATCTCTGTACAGGGGAGCTTCTTTCTTCTTTCTTATTAAACTCTCCATTCCTTAAAACCACTCCACGTGTGTCCATGTTATTTATCTAAATTGGTGCGAGACAAAGGGCCCTGGTGTTCCTTCAGTTATCAGAGCCATATCATTTTGGTGTGTTGGCCAAGAATCCGAGGTACAACATTCATCGGATGGTGAGTATAGGAGCAAGCTTAAAATCTGTTCTATCATTCTGAGGGGCTCTTGGCCTCTATTTTAAAATCAAATCAAATCAATCAACAGGCATCCTTCAGCTGGTTAAAAATATGCTTATCACGACTGCCATTCTAAGGCCTCAGATGTTAGGCTTGCTGGTGGAGAACACGGAGAACCCCCCTCAATACCCACGGGTCATTGGGAGTGTCGGCCGTGTTTCGAATCAGTTTCCTTTCACGGGGAAACCTTACCATCGCGTGAGGCTGGGAAAGTTCTGGCCAGGACACACCCTGGCGTTATTCAAAGGCCTCTGGGTCGGACCCAGCCTCCAACAGCCCATTTCGGGTTTTGGCAGAGAATCCCCAGCTATCCTGTCACAAAACTCTCCTTCTTTTTCTATCCACAGTCTCTCTCTCTCTCTGATGTGCGGGAATTTAGTAACCAGGAGTTTAGCTCAGGAATGCTGTTGCAATCTTCTAGGAACAGAGGGTTCCTTTCCTCCCCCTCCTCCCCGCTCCCACCCAGAGTGAGCGTCTCTCTCTCTGCCCTTGGTCTGGAGAGTGCATGGCATTTCCAGGTCTCTCTACTACTACTCTGGCGAGCACATAGTATTTCTTTCTTTGGTTTTTTTTTTTTTTTTTTTTTTTTTTTTTTGAGGCAGAGTCTCGCTCTTTCGCCCAGGCTGGAGTGCAGTGACGTGATCTCGGCTCACTGCAAGCTCCGCCTCCCGGGTTCACGCCATTCTCCTGCCTCAGCCTCCCGAGTAGCTGGGACTACAGGCGCCCGCCACCGCGCCCAGCTAATTGTTTGTATTTTTAGTAGAGATGGGGGTTTCACCGTGTTAGCCAGGATGGTCTCAATCTCCTGACCTAGTGATCCACCTGCCTCGGCCTCCCAAAGTGCTGGGATTACAAGCCAGGATGGTCTCAATCTCCTGACCTAGTGATCCACCTGCCTCGGCCTCCCAAAGTGCTGGGATTACAGGCGTGAGCCACTGAGCCCGGCCTCGAGCAAATAGTATTTCTAAACCAACAGTGCCACCTAGTGGAAACAGAAATCTTCATGAGGCACATTTTTTTTTCTTTTATGGTAACACTGCAGCTTCCTTTTGCACCACTAGAAATCGGGCTCTAAGCCTCTTCTGTGAACAGGAAAATTCTGCTTTCAACAGATAGGAGTTAAATGTCTTCTGTGGCCAAATTTTAGTCTCAATATTGTCCCATCAGCAGGAAAATGGCCGTTTGGTTCCTACGTTCCTTTAAGGCACCTATTCTGTCTCTGATTAAGGTAGTACTGAGCTAGTAAGGGGATTTTAAGTCCAGAAGTTAACCGGAACCATTTTTCTAAGGGTAAATGCTTTAGCATGGGCCATAATAGCAGGATATAGAGTTCAATCTAGCATACCCCCTCCATTAAAGGGGCCTTGCCCAATTACGTAGTTTTTCTTGAGATCTGTTTTTTTTAGGGAGGTACACAGGTCGCAGAAGTCTAGGAGGTTGAAGGGAAATATAAGCAGAGGACTAGAGCTGCTTGGGGAAGTGCGACTAGGCCCAAAAGTCTAGTTCCTCTGGTGCCATGGCTTGGAGGGTCACACCTACAGTCATGGGCAGCACATTTAACAGGGAGGTGGGACCTAGGAACTAGCGAGGGAAAATAGTTGGGGGACGCCCCCACTGTTTTCTTCTCCACCCTGGGTCATATACAGAAAGGAAGGAGACTAAAAGGACACTTTTATTCTCACTTCTCTTTCTAAACGGGTAACAGATCATCTTTAGCATGTGGTCCCCTGGAGTGGATTTTAAAACACTGGGACTGCTTCAACCCTGAGACTTTGAAGAAAAAATGCCTCATAGTCTATTGCACAAGGGCATGGCCTTCTTATCATCTTGGAGATGGACAAACCTGGCCTGCTTGGTGGAGCCTTGATTTTAATGTCATCCAACAGTTAGATCTTTTCTATAGACAGAAGGGCAAATGGACTGAGGTCCCCTATGTATAGACTTTCTTTGCCCTGTGAAACCCAGACCTTTACAAGTCCTGGACAACTGACCCAGTTCTTTTACCAGCCATGGCAGGCAAGCCCATAGGCCTTTCCCAGAGCTAAAGTAGGTTCCAAAGGAGCAATCTGAGACAGCTATTGAATGTCCCAATGCTTCCAGTCCCCCTCCAATTGTACCATCAGCTCCTCTAGCTCCACCATTTCCAGTATATCCTACTCTCCCCATTTCACTCTTACTGCTGCAGGAAGTGCTTGATGGGAATGGTGCCATGAGGGTTCAAGTTCCCTTTCATTACAGAACCTTAAGCAAATAAAGGGAGACTTAGGCCGATTTTCTGACAACCCAGGTAGGTATATAGAAATTTTCCAAAATTTAACTCAGGTATTTGACCTCACATAGAGGGATGTTACGTTGCTGCTACGTCAGACCCTCACTGAAGCTGAAAAGCAGAAAGTTCTGCAGGCAGCAGAAAAATATGGAGATGAGCAACATGCCTCCTGTAGCAAACCGAGGAGACAAAGAGGAGATAGGGAAGGTGAGGAAGAAGTGGAAACTCCATTCCTACTAGGAAAGGAAGCAGTTCTGGTAGACAACCCTGACTGGAACACCAGTAACTCAGGAAATGAATGGAAAAGGAAGCACTTTTAAGGTGTGTATTAGAGGGCCCATGGAAAACCAGGGCCAAACCTCTCAATTACTCTAAACTGTCCATGATAGACCAAAGACCAAACGAGAATCCCACAGCCTTTATGGAAAGGCTGAGAGAGGCACTAATAAAACATACCTATTTATCCCGATTCAATCAAGGGACAGCTCATTCTCAAGGACAAGTTTATTACACAGGTAGCTCCCAATATTAAAAGGAAACTATAAAAGCAAGCTATAGGGCCAGATAGTACCCTAGAAAACCTCCTAAGAAAGCCACTTCGGTCTTTTACAATAGGGATCAGGAGGAAGCCCAATAAAAGGAAAGGAAAATACAGGAAAACAACAGAGGCTCTAGTAGCAGTGGTGCAAGCTTGCAAAGTCCAGAATCCCCAAGGTGCATCCACTAGCTGTTATCGATGTGGCAAATCAGGGCATTTTAAGAAAGAATGTCCAGGTAGCAAGACAAAGCCACCTCGACCCTGTCCAGCCTGTGGCGGAGACCACTGGAGACAGATCTGCCCCCAGAGACGGAGGTCACTGGGTTCAGAACCAGTCTCACAGATGGTCCAGCAAGACTGATGGGTCCCGGGGGCTCAAACCCCTAGCTCCAGCGACTCAGACTGCCATTACAGCACAGGAACCTTGGGTGATTCTGGAAATCAAAGGAAGGAAGGAAGGTAGATCTCCTTCTGGATACTGGAGCCAGTCTCTCTCTTCTCCTCTAATCCAGGCCTCCCCTCTTCCCATAGTATGACTATAAGGGGTGTCTCAGGAAAAATTCTAACCTGATATTTTTCTCAACCTCTTACCTGCAGATGGGGGGACCTACTATTTACACATGCTTTTAAAATCATGGCTGAAAGTCCTGCTCCTTTATTAGGAAGAGATAGTCTAGCTTGCATGGGGGCCAGCATCCATACAGCCCCAGGACAAACTCTTTGTCTCCCCCGATGGAAGCTAACATTAAACTACAAGTGTGGGCAACTCAAGGAAGGATAGGTCGAGCTATAACCACTAGGCCAGTCCAGATCTATCTTAAGGATCTCACTTCTTTTCCTAACCAGAGACAGTATCCCCTGAGCCCAGAGGCTAGGAAAGGGCTAGAAGCCGTTATTAATAACCTAAAGATGCAGGGCCTCCTCAAACCCTTTAATAGCCCCTGCAACACCCCAATATTAGGAGTGCAGAAGCCCAGTGGGGAATAGAGACTAGTTCAGGACCTTTGCCTCATTAATGAAGCTGTAGTTCCAATGCATCCAGTGGTACCTAATCCCTATACCCTGTTAACTCAAATACCTGAGGGAACTAAATGGTTTACAGTCCTAGATTTAAAGGATGCCTTTTTCTGCATACCATTACATCCTGATTCTCAACACCTGTTTGCCTTTGAGGATTTCCTTCCGTCCAGACTGCCCAGTTAACATGGACGGTGCTGCCTCAGGGATTTTGAGATAGTCCTCATCTGTTTGGACAGGCACTGTCACAAGACATTTCTGAGTTCTCTCATCCTCAAGTTAGGGTCTTGCATTAGTTGATGATATTCTGCTCTGTGCCCCAACTGAGGAAGCTTCTCAGGAAGGCACCGAAGCTCTTCTCAACTTCTCAGCTAACAGAGGATATAAGGTTTCAAAATCCAAGGCCCAGCTCTGCAAAACCTCAGTGAAGTATCTAGGATTAGTACTGTCCAAGGGGACCAGAGTATTAGGGGAAGAGAGGATTAAGCCTATTTCCTCCTTCCCTCACCCCCAAACCCTCAAGCAACTAAGAGGATTTTGGGGCATTACAGGATTTTGTAGACTATGGATACCTGGGTATGGTGAAATAGCCCGTCCATTATATAACCTCATAAAAGAAACTCAGGGAGCTAAAACTCATCTTTTAACCTGGGAACCTGAAGCTCAAAAGGCCTTCAACCAGCTAAAGCAAGCCTTGCTCAAGGTGCCAGCCCTCAGCCTTCCTGTAGGGAAGGCCTTCAATCTGTATGTGTCAGAAAAGAAGGGAATGTCCCTGGGAGTTTTAACACAGGCCCGAGGACCAGCTCAACAGTCAATGGGTTACCTAAGTAAGGAACATGATTTGGTGGCTAAAGGATGGCCAGCATGTCTCCAAGCCATTGCCTCAGTGGCTCTACTGGTCCCAGAAGCCTCCAAACTAATCCTGGGAAATGATTTAACTGTTTATAATCCTGGGAAATGATTTAACTGTTTACACCCCACATAACATGGCAGGACTACTGCACTCTACAGGGGAGCCTTTGGGCTAACAGCCGACTCCTTACATATCAGGCCCTGCTGTTAGAAGGTTCCAACATCCAATTAAAGACTTGTTCTCATCTAAATCCAGCCACCTTCTTCCCCAAGGAAACTGGGGAAACTGTGCATGATTATGAACAAGTCATAGTACAGACCTATGCAGCAAGGGAAGATACTGGGGAAACTTCCCTAGAGAACTCAGACTGGACCCTCTCCACAGATGGGAGCTCTTTTGTAGAACAAGGAGTATGCATATGCAATGGTCACTCTAAATGACGTCACCAAAAGTGCATCTCTCCCTCCAGGCACAAGTGCTCAATTAGCTGAGCTAATAGCTCTTACAAAAGCAATCACATTAAGCAAAGGAAAGAGAGCTAACATTTACACTGACTCCAAGTATGCTTTTCTGGTTCTCCATGCTCATGCTGCCATTTGGAAGGAAAGGCATTTCCTTACCACCAATGGACCGCCTGTAAAATATCACCAGGAAATTAACAGGTTATTATCCTCAGTTTTTCTTACACAATAAATAGCAGTGATGCATTGCAAGGGACATCAAAAGGGAACAGATGAGGTAGCCGAAGGATACAGATTAGCTGATCAGGCAGCTAAATCAGTGGCAAGGAAGCCTCAAGACATCAACACACTTCACACCCCTCTAATCTGGGAAGGCTCCATAAGAGAAATTAAACCTCAGTACTCCCCTACAGAAATAGAATGGACCACTTTGTCTCGAGGGTATACCTTTTAGTCCTCAGGATGGCTACAGTCAGAGGATGGCAAACACCACTTGCCAGCCTCCAGCCAATGGAAAATCCTTAAAATCCTTCACCAAGGTTTTCACTTGGGAAAGGATAAAACTTATCAACGTGCCCAGAGATTGTTTTCAGGAGAGAACTTACCAAAAACAGTCAAGCAAGTTATTAATACCTGTGAAGTCTGTCTTAAAAATAATCCCCTGAAAATGTGACTCCTTCCTCCTCAAACCCAAAGAACAGGAAGTTATCCAGGGGAAGACTGGCAAATAGACTTCACCCACATGTCAAAGACAAAGGGCATTCAATACCTGCTGGTATGGGTAGACACCTTCACTAACTGGGTAGAAGCATTTCCATGCCATCCACAAAGAGCCTCTGAGGTAATAAAAATGTTAGTTAATGAAATAACTTCCTGCTTTGGTCTACCGAAGTACCTTCAAAGTGACAATGGGCCCTTGTTTAAGGCAGCTGTCACACAAGGGGTCTCAAAAGCACTAGGCATAGAATATCATCTCCATTGTGCTTGGAGACCCCAATTCTCAGGAAAGGTGGAGAAAACTAATGATATTATCAAGAGACACCTCTGAAAATTATCCCAAGAAACTCACCTTCCTTGGGTCACTCTTATTCCCATGGCCTTAACGAATAAGAAATACCCCTTCAAAATTAGGTCTTAGCCCTTTTGAGATGCTGTACAGATGGCCTTTTCTTACCAATGATTTTCTGTTAGATTGGGAAACCTCTGAGCTAGTTAAGCATGTAACCTCTCTGGCTCAGTTCCAACAGGAAGCGACTAGCAAAAGCCCAACCCCAGGAAACTGGACCACCTCTGTTTAACCCAGGAGATTTGGTACTTGTAAAGGCTCTCCCTTCTCTCTCTCCCTCCCTAAGCCCAGGCTGGGAAGGACCTTACACTGTTCTTCTTTCAAGCCCCTAGGCAATAAAAGTTACAGGAATCGACTCCTGGATACATTATATTGGAGTCAAAGCCTGGAGACCTGAGGGAGCAACCCCTGACAACCCAGAGGAATGCCTTGAATATCAATATAAAGAAAGAGGAGATCTTAAGCTGAAAATCACAAAAGTAACTGAATGAAAACTACTTATCTTAGTCTCACCCCTACCTCACCAAATACTTCTTGCCATTTCCACCTCTCCTTTTGAGATTCGCTGCCAAATATTAGAACTTCTTTTTGATGGAAATTATTTACTACGCCACCCTTGCAGGAATTGTTTTACTCACTCTACTATTTGCAGTAGGACTATATGCTGTAGCACCCTCAGGGTGGAATATCAGACAGATAATCTCAATTACTGTAGCATTCTGCTTAATTATTATCCTCATAGCAGGAATAACAGTTATGAAAAGGAAGTAAACATGAGCGTTTTACTATCACTCAGTCTATTAGGACTTTTTATCGGACTTAGTAATACATCACACCCTTTAGCTCCTGCAATATCTGCCATGGTCCATTTGTACAACAAGACTAATTGTTGGGTCTGTCCTAAGTGGTTTGCTCAGTTCAGTGACGCTAAGGAAACTTACAATGACCCAGAATTCACTGTTTTAGGATTCCCTTTATTGGCTTTACCTTTACCCTTAAAGACCTAGCAGGCATAAATTGGACATGGTATGGGAGCAACACTCTGCTCCCAGTGCCGGAGAACACTCTGCCTGAAGATAAGCTTCACATCCTCAGGCTGGGACAAGACTGAGTAACAGCAAATGCCTCTCTCTGCTTTAAAAGCAGCGAGGAAGGACCATGCTTGGGAGATCTCAAATATTGTAACATCATACTTGTAATTGATGTTAGTTCAAATATTTAGGGAGGAGAGTGCAACAAGGGTGATCTAAAAGGATTAGAAGCCCTAGTTGGGGGGCTTTCAGAATCTAGCCTCTCATTCTGGTTGGAAGCCCCGATGGGAGTGGCATGCTCTAAGTAACCACCTTGACTATATTGTAAAGAATAACAGATGGGCCTTTCCAAACATGCCCCCTCATGGAATTCCAGACCGTTGTATCATGTTTGCTAATAGTAGCGGCTTACAGATCTGTGGGCAAACTGGAGGCATCTGGACTGACAGCCCTTGCCACAGGATCATCTGAGATACTGGCCAGGGCATATTATGTCTCTAATTTTTCGAAACTCCATTTGTCAGGTGGACGCTTCTCACTTGACATGTCGAATTCCAAATGGCATCGTAAATATTGTAAATATGGATATCCTTATCCCAAGGATGCCCCTATTATATGTAAAGAAGGGAAACTTCTAAGATATCAGAAAAATCTGCCGGTGTCTCTCACAAGCCACAATTTAGAACTGTCTCTTCAAGGAACAGGGCTACTTTTTTTTTTGTGGCTCCTGGATACATTTAATCCTCCCAAGGCATTGGAAGGGAACTTGTACTATAGTAGCACTAGTTCCTGACTTATTATTTTTAAATTCTACCAAGATGGCAGCATCATCTGGAGTCATCCCTAATTGAGGCTCTTTTCTAGAGACTACACTATCTTGAATACACCAGAGAAAGAGATCTATCATTTCTATGCCCTCATAGGGAGATTTAACTGAAAGAGCAGACTGGGGAGGGCATGCACATGACAATCCCATCTTAGAAAAACCATGAATGGGAAATTCTATAGCCAGAGGTCTAGTCTGGATTACGGGCTTCCCTCTCCTTGAAAGATCAGTACTTACTATTTCTATTATGATGCAACAAGGGTGGAAGGCAACTGTAGGTACCATAGAGGCACGACAGCAATCTACAGACTCTTTCACCACAGTAGCAGCACAGAATAGACGGGGCTTAGACGTCCTCACAGCTGAAGTAGGAGGTACCTGTGCACTTATAAATGAAACATGCTGCTTCTGGATTAACACCTCTAGTAAAGCAGAGGAAAATCTACAGCTACCTAAAGATCAAATCAAAATCATTAAGAGGCTACAAGAACACGCAGGCTTCAGCCCCGGGTGGCTACAATTCCTCTTTAATGAATTCTAGTCTTCTTTATGGAATTGGTTAGCTCCTTTATTAAGTCCACTCCTACTTATATGTCTTGTATTAATATTTGGACCTTGCATACTCAATACTATAACTCAAATCATTTCCTCTTGCCTAGAAGCAATCAATCCAAATGGTGCTGCAAACCGAACCACACGTGGACGTGCCATTCTTCCGAGGACCCTTAGATCAACCCCAGGAGGAGCCCTAGCTGTTGTTCCCCACTTGATGTCCCTTTTCGGCAGGAAGTAGCCAGAAAGAGTTCTTGCCCAAAACCCCCTAACAGCAGTTAGGGTGACATCTCCTCAGGAAGGGAATATTACAGGAGTTATTAAGGAAAAACTATGTTGGTATTTCTTATATCCGTCCTTAAGAAATCTAGCCCAAATTACCTATGCCTGTATAATTTGCTACTTCCTTATTTAGGGATATAAGTGATATTTTAACTACATTTTAAAGTACAGCTAATGGGAAGACTCCTGCAGTCTTCCAACCCTTAAAACCATCAATTTGCACAGCAAATAGCACACATTACAGAAAATGGTCTTTTATTACAGGTCTCCCCTTTCTCTTTTGTCTTTTCCAGTGCTGCGATATTACAGCAATTAGCCAGCTTCAAGCTAAAGCAATAACAATGACAAGGCAGCTGCTGTTAATACATTTTCAATCCTTGAGACCCATAAAATTAAAATTTCAAAGAGATTATCACTTAGCAGGCACCAACAGAGATATACTTGGTGAAAATGAAGTCATTTAAACTGTCCAGAAGAAAGTAACTACCAGAACATATATTTTAACAAGAATTGACAAGAAGGAAAGGTTCAATTGGTATCTAGTTCTCTCCTGAATGTCAATATTACTTTCCTATTATTGTTAGATCTGGTTTTCAGTTATAATAATAATTTTGAAATGTGTATCTAAAGATTGATTACAATCAACTATTTATAGTAGAGGTTCTACAGTGAGGAGGAAACACATTTAACAGCATTTTGTATATATCAAAATCATTAATGTCTAACAAGTTTTGATTTGGTATTAATTTTTCCAATTTTTCAATCTAGTTATTTTAAGGAAATCAGCCTGGCTTGTCTCCGAGATACTACTCACAGCCAACAATGGCTCTAATCCCCTCCCCCATCTTTTCTTTCAACTTAAGCAAATATAGGCATATATTCCTCAGATACAGGTTTTCCTGGAAGACTCTCATACAAGTATAAAATAACATGCATGAGATTAGTAACTCATCAATAAATGGGGAAACTAGTAAGATGTTACAACTGATTCAAAAGGAGAATTCAAAACATACATAATATAAGTAACGAGGAATCCTGACTTAGCAAAACTGGATACTGTCCACAGGTTAACAATAAAATGAATCTCCATTGAACACAACTTGCATTTCCATGAACAACAATCACCTGCGTTAACTGCCAGGATTCCACAACTGAGAGTTGTAAAATAGCATAATAATAACTCCAAGATACCCAGTAAATACTCTTTTTGTTTGTTTCAAAGTCTTTCACTTATTTTCCTGACACTGGGCTCAGGAAGGGACTGAATGCAGGCACAGTAAAGATGAGTCATACTTTCTCTCTGTCCTTGGTCTTCGTTTCATTCTGCACACTTGTTGCACTTGTCTCTCTATGCATCTTGGTTTTCTT